>NC_000002.12:30881376-31034127 GCF_000001405.40 Homo sapiens
CATGTTGTATGTGCCTGGCACTACTTCTTCAGTAAATTTTGGTTAAATAAAATGTGGGATGAAGGGAAAGATTTTTTTAAATAGCAGTGGTAAAGTGAAGTCCTACACGAAGGAGGAAGGGGCCGGATAGGCCTTTGGGGCCCCTTTAAGTCATCCCTAATGAATCCATTCTTATCTTCCACCCTCTGCCTTTTCAGCTGCATTTATTCTTACTAATACACTCTTCCTCCCATCAGAGGCTAAATTGGAAAGTTGTTCATTGTTCGTGAACACTTTTAAATAATGTTTCAAGTATATTTAATACACTAGAAGGAAAGGTGTATTTTAAGAAGGTGAATTTTATGCATAACAAACCTAGACTTGGAAATTACTTTTATTTTTAAAAAATGGTTTCTTAAGTATTATATAATTTTTGAGTGCAAAAGATATGTGTTTACACAAATTCTTTAAGCTTTTGCCATGGTCCATGGTGATACCTTTGTATGAAATCTTATGAGCTCCTCATTTTACATCTCTGCAGCATGTGAGCTCATTAAACACTCTTTCTGGAATTCTCTCCTCTTGTGGCTTCCATGACTGTTTATCTGATTCTGCTTCTCACAATTGGATTGCTCCTTTTATTTTGTATCTCAGTTGCTCTTTGCTGTGTCCATTTCCTCCTCCTGCCGCCTAAATGCTGGGATTCCCTGGGATTCCTTCCTTGGCCCTCTTCTCTCCCAGGATGCCCTCACTCCCCTATGCACTGGTCTGACATTGACATGCCTGTGACCTCCACATCTTTCTCTCTAGCTCTTACCTCTTTCTGCAGCTCCAGGTTCAAATTCCTAACCTCCTTGGATAGCTCCAGTTGGATTCTTGTTGTTGCTTGAAATTAAATTTGGACAAGAAAAAACATTTGCTTTTCTTCTCAACTACCCTAAACTCCTCCCTGACCTGTGTTTCTTGTCTCAGTGAATGGTTTTGCCACCAACTTAAGCATTCTGGAGCAGTCTCCGAGGCTGCCTGCCCACCCATATCTCATATCTAGGTAAAGTTAAATCCTATGGATTATGCTCGGGAATGTTTCTAATTTGTGCCTTCCTCCCCATATCCATTATCCCTGCCCTAATTCAAACCCTCACTTTTTTTTTCTTGCAAGAACATTACAAAAACCCAGCTGGGTCTTCCTTCATCCTCTCCTATCTCTCTGCCATACCATAGTCCATTTCATTATTGTTTTACTGGCTGTACCTGCTTTTAGGATTGTTGTCCTTCCAAATAAGTGGACTCAGAGAGTCACAGGACTGGCAGGTGGCTGGGACAACACCTCCACCCTTGCCCCTCTGCAACTCAGATGGCACCTACTTTACCCAGCCTGGGGAGGTGGGATGAGAGTATGGCCTTTGTTCACACTGGCCTAGGTGTGGCAGAAGGTGACAAGAAAGCCTCCTTTGACTTTTCTCATTCTCTTTGTAGCTCCCATTCAGTTGGAAGTAAGTCCAGTTTTTAGATCCAGCTTCAGAATTAGGACTTTAAAAATCTTTTATTAAGGAAAATTACAAAGATATGGAAATAGAAAAGCATAATATGCCCCCAATGAATCATCACCCAGCTTCAACAGTTTTTAACTCATGGCCAATCTTGTTTCTTCTCTGCACCATGCAATTCCCCTCCCATACTTTGTGGTATTTGGAAGCAAATACAAAACTAAAACATTGGGTTTTAACTGAGCTGAAAGACCAGGGGCATAAGCCTTTTGTGTGTCACAGCCATGGTGCCCAGTGTCTCTTCTCAGCACCTCCCCATGTGGCAGCCCTTCGGAACAGGGCTCTACGAGGGACCCTTGACTCAGCCTGTGGCTAATAGTGGCTCATATCATCCATGGGTGACACCATGCCCCTCTCCCTGGGAGATAAGGGAAGTAGTTGGGGGGCTACATGCATGGTATCCCTGCGCTTAGCCAGATTCCTCCACCCAAGGCCTCCAGCTGACCTCTGCTGGAGGAGCTGGAGCAACCGGTACCACCCACCACCTCTCCAAACCACTAGGGTGCTCATCAGACAGCCTTCCCAGCAAACGCTAGGATCTACTCCTGAGCTTAATGAGGGGCCCAGGGAAAAGGATCAGCAGCAGAACAAAGTGGAGGAACCCAGATTCTTGAGAGTTTAAGTAGAAAATATGCTACCCAGGTACATGGGGACCTGTTGCAGGGACTCAACAGTGCCATTTCGGGACAGGAACAGGCAACCAAGCCACAGGTGGCATAACAGAGGTATATTGTATCTCACTGCTGGAAGAGAGGAGTGTCAGGCCAGAAGCCGCAGTGAGTGTTTCATTTATCTAGGGCCTCCGTGTAGCCTTTTTTGTAATCAAAAGCATTTGCAGGGCTCTGGGCTCAAGATACAAATTTGCATATTGCTTTACATAAGTCAGCATATGGAGTTCACTCACCCCTAACGCCAAGAAAGGGAAATTAAATTCAATTAGATTAATTAGTACAACTGATTGCAAATTGTTTTCAGACCTAATATTAAGGGTACTGCACGCAGGAAATACAAAACAGATTTTTTTAATTGGGAGGAGGGAGGAGAGGGAAGGATGGGAGGGGGAAGGATGGGAGTGAGTAGCTTGGGCAGCCCAGCCAGGTATGCTAGGGAGGAGTCAGGGAGGTATGCAGGGCAGGTGGGAGGAGGGCGCTCAAGCACTTCCATGGGATACTTCAGTTTCCCTCCTCCACATGCCCCCATCCCACCTCCTGTATACAAATTATTCCTGGGCAGAGGCTGATTTACCTGGATGGTAATAAAGCTTAGGTTTAGGGCCACTCTCCGGCCTGGATCTCTTCCAAGCCTCAATCAATACTCAGTTTTGCATCTGTAATTTTTAAGTGAGGCCTCATAAGTTATGTTTTAGGTCCCTAAAAACCTCCATCATCCCTACCGCTCTCCCTTGGTTTCCTTTCTTCTTTACCTCCTTTGCTTCCTCCTTTGCTGGCTCACTTCTCCTCTTTCCTGCTTCGTTTCTTGGAATTCAGGGTTGGAGGAAAGGGCCCAAGCAAAGAGAGGTCTTAGGGTGGGTGCTGGGAGCAGCCCCTCCTTTGCCAGCCCTGCAGAGCTGTGGGTCCTTTGGGCACAGGCCTGGCCCTGTCTGGCACCAGCCAGTCCTGACACCCAGCCAGGCACACAGTGGTAGCCTCTAGCTTAGACCCCAGGGTCAGGGGTTAAGTGGTCTACCCTTATCAGGTGTGCCTGCGGCTCATCTGGTCGGGTCTTCCCTTCCCTGGCCTGCTGTGATGCTCAGACCATGAGGAAGACAAGCATCTGCCATCTCTCTTGAATGGACTCCCAGGGGCTGTGCAGGGAGAGGACCCCATTGAGAGGTCCAGCTCACTTGGCTGGGCCTGCTCCTACCCCCAACCGCCCAGTCCTGCCTGACATGTTCCAGTCACCTGGAAAGACAATGGGAATTGGGAACCTGCTGAGTCCTGAACATTCCTGCTGCCGGTCCTCTCCCACCAGCCCAGGTTCTCTGCCCTTCCCCACTAGCTAATGTCCTAGTATGCCTAGGACTGACCCATCTCAGTTTTGATAAAAAGAAATTCATCCACTTCCTTTGTCTTTGCTTTCCGGGTCTGGTCCCTTTTGATGCCATAGGGAGGGCCAGCACATTCCCCAGGGAGATGGAGGGCCTGGTCCCTGAGCCCCTGCCTTACTTCCTTCTCACACACTTTCTAAGTGAGACTCTATAGATGGGCTTTCTGCAGGCTGAGGCGCAGTTGGTGGAACAGGGATTTTTGTATGTTTCAACAGTGTCCTGGAGACTCTTCCACCTGATGCAGGTTGGGAGAATTTATTCATTCATTTATCTGTCCATCCAACAAACACCTATTGTCTCCCCTGTGCTGGTGTGAGATGATCCAGGGGTGAACACATAAAGTAGGTGTATGTAAGGGGGGTTAAGAGAAGTCCAGAAATAGCCATAATATGAAACAGCACAAGATAAGCTTTCAAGAGAGCTTGTTCAGCCATAGGGAGGGCATATCTTGTTGGGCAACCAAGAAAGACTTCAAAAAGGAGACTATGCAAACTGGCCTTTCAGGTGGGGTAAGATGGCGAAAGGTGGGGTGGAGGGGAAGGACCCACCACGCAGGACCAGAAGCAGTCACAGGAAGAGGTAGTGAGAACACCCTGGAAACGGCCCAGGTGGCAGGCCATCCCGGAAACCAGCAGTGGTTCTGCTTGGCCATGACATTAGAATTTGGATAGGGAAGTAGTTGATGGATCTGGAGAGACTGTGAGCAAAAGGCAGACTGAGGGGAAATGAAAAGGAAGGAATGGCCTCAGGAAGGAGGTAGAGAGTGTGTGGGTACATACAACGGGGATGTCAAAGCCCTCTTGTTCCTTTTCACAATTTCTCCTTTCCTGCTACTCCCAACTGATGGTGAAGAGGGAAGTTGGAAGGCCCCCAACTCTCTGTCGCCAAAGCTTGGCTCTGCTCACTCCAGGCTGAGGCCTCCATGCCTGTTTCAGGCTGGACACCCAGTCCTTTCTAGTAGCCAGAGCTTCCCCTTTGAGCCCCAGAATTCCTCTGCTGGGCCTTGGACTTTCTGAACACACTCCCTTGGGCATCCAAGAAGAAGTGGCTCCCCATTCAGGCAATGCCTACTCTGCACAATGATAAGCACACTCCTGACATTGCTAAATGGTTGTCTACTTCTAATAAACCCCATGCTGGTGGGTGCAGCATGAGAGGTAATATTCGCTCTTCCTGGCTGCCTCAAACCATAGTCAGGATTATAAAGACGCATGAATCAGAGATGGCAGCCTATAACAAAAGCTTTACCTCCAGCTGTTTTGCTCATTTTCTAAACAACAGAACACTCCCTACTTCCCCACCCCCTCTGCTTGTTCCTTTGTGTTTGAGATTCATCATCACCAAATGCTTTGGTCTAAACCCCCAGGCTTACACAACAATTGAGAGAGAGAGAGGCCAGAAATGCCTGAATTCCAGGAAGCTGCGCTGTGTCCTGTGGCCACTCGTTTTTGCCTCCCCTCGCTGCCCACCTGGAGCAGCTGCTGGTAACTTCCCACCTGAAAAGCGAATCTCAGGTTCCTCTCTGCCTGGCTGGACACAGATCATTTTTCCTGCTGGCTCTGACCCTGCCTCTCTTCCAGGGCTAAACCTGCTCCAGGAGCACTGGCTCTATAGGGTGAGACTTAGCCTGAGGTCCCCCTTGTACCACATAACTGGGCTACCACCAGGTACGAAAGATTTGCGTCCTATCTTACTTGTACCTCCATTTAAGTAACAGGGAGCCTGTCTTGGTCCCTGCCTGATGCCATGGATGTTCTAAAGTCCTAAGTTACTCTTTTATTTTTCTTTTTAGAGTGAGGTGAAATTCACAAAACAAAAAATTAACCTAACCATTTTAAGGTGAGGAATTTAATGGCCTTTAGTACATTCATAATCTTGTACAACCAACACCTTGATCTTGTCCCAAAACATTTTCATCACCCCCAGAGAAAACCCTGTACCATTAAGCATTTACTTTCCATTTCCCCAAGCCCCTGGCAACTGCCAGTTTGCCTTCTGTCTTCATGGATTGACTTTTCAGATATTTCATATGAATGGAATCATACAATATGAGACCTTAGCAAAATGTTTTTGAGGTTCATCCACATCGTAGCATGTATCAGTACTTTACTACTTTTCATGTCTGAATAATATTTCATTTTATGTATACACCACCATTTGTTTATCCATTCTTCCATTGATGGACGTTTGAATTGTTTCCACGTTTGGCTACTGTGAATAGTGAGTCTATGAAAGTGTTTGTGCATGTATTTAAGTAGCTCTTTTCAGTTTTTTTCAGGGATATATGTGGGGCTGAAATTCCTAGGTCAAATGGTAACTCTATGTTTAACTTTTTGAGAAACCACCAAACTATTTTTCACAGCAGCTGACATTTTACACTCCTACCAGCAATGTGTAACGGTTTCAATTTCTTCATATCCTTGCTAATAATTATTTTCTTTTTTTTAATTAATTTTTCATATGATAGCCATCCTAGTGCATGGTATCTCATGGTAGTTTGCCTTGCATTTTTCCAGTGATTAATAATGTTGAGCATCTTTCCATGTGCTTTTTGGCCATTTGTATGTCTTCTTTGGAGAAATGTCTATTTAATTCCAGTTTTATTTCAGGTAAGTTGTCTTTTTGTTGTCCAGTTGTAAAATAAAAGTTCTTTATATATTCTGGATATTAAATTCTCTCCAGAGATACGATTTGCAATATCTGTGGATTGTATTTTCACTTTCTTGATAATACCTTTTGACGCACATAAGTTTTACATTTGATGAAGTCCAATTTATCTCTTTTTTCTCTTGTTGCTCATGCTTTTGATGTCATACCTAAGAAAGCATTGCAAAATCTGAGGTCATGAAGATTTACTCCTAGTTTTCTTCCAAGGGTTTTTGGTTTTGGCTTTTACTCTTAGGTCATTGATACCTTTTGAGCTAATTTGTGTTTATAGTGTGAGGTAGGGTTTTCTAACTTACTCATGACTCCTGCTCCCATGCCTACCTCAGCTGGGGGTGCAACCTGGGACCTGTAGTCTGCTGGCACTTGTCCTTGATGCCTGTACTGCTGTTTCTTTCCCTGCATGACCTGTTGGTCTGGGACATCCTTTTACCCTTTGTCAGCCTCTATGACATGAATTGCTTGCCTGGACTGCTACTTAATTGGATTGGACTCCACTAGATGGGGCTTCCTCTGAGCCAACCTGCTAGGTCTGTTCCTTCCATTCCAGCCCCATTCCTGTCATAGGTCTGAGCCTAGCCATCTGTCTGCACTCTAAGACTGAGCTAGCTTGCTGCTGCACCAGGCCACTCTAGCAGCATCTTGTGACAAAAAAAGATTGCATCAATAAAGTACAGTGGACTGAGGGCATGGACTCTGCAACTGGGGACCCAATACCAGCTCTGCTGCCTACTACATGGGTGACTACAGAGAATAGTGTGATGTTTTGTGCCTCAGTTTCCTCATCTGTAAAATAGGGATACTGTAATTATTACCCCCACTTCATAGAGCTGATGTGGCAGTGAAGATAGTTAATATCAAAAAAGGGTTAAGAAGAGTGGCCAGCATGTGGCAAATGCTGCATGAGTGTTAGCTCTTATTAATAATGTCTACAAATCTCACTGGTCGCTGGGAAGGGTGTTACAACTGGAACAACAATTTAGCATGGATGAGCTCATTGTTTTCCTAGATGTAGGGTTGGGAGGCCGGGGGTGGGGATGGAAGTTGCCTACCTGAAAGGAGGAGAATAAGCCTGTTCCTACCAATGGCCATTGGCAGGCAACTAGGCACAAGGAAAGAAGGAGAAGAGGAGGGTGCAGGGCCCCAAACTAATCTTGCTGGTTGCAAAATTCTGGTGATGTCTCCCAGGTTAGCTAAATCTGTGGCAAATTCAGTCACATGATACCTGTGATCTAATAAAAAGAGGCAGAAAGCAGGAGCCTTATTTTGTTGAATTGCCATGAGTTGTATTGTCCCCCCCTCCACCCCCACCTCCCAATTTTCCTACTGTTGAGTTCTGGGTGAGTCTTGTTATCTCCCAGTGTAATTACTTACAGGATTGTGTCCTGGGGCCAGAATCACGAAGATCCCCCAGAGTCACCTGTAAAGAAGCCTGGGAGTAGGACTCCTCCCTGTCACCACCCCTGCGGCTGTGTCCTTTTCAGAGTTGCAGATGATTCATTCCTGGGAGGGAGGTTAGCCACCCGGATTTATTATCTGTCTAGATAGGGACTGTGCAGCACGACCAAAATAAAGGGCGAGAAAAATAGAGCTGTCTCAGCAAAATCTGCTGAATCAGAATTAACAAGAAAATCTTGTAACTAATGATCAGAAATTAAAATGTACTCAGGAGCTGCGGTGTTTAACTGAATAGCAGGACTGCGGGGTATACTGTGCAGGATAATGGAACTTGGAACAGCTCCTCCTCCCATTGCTGTGGGGACCCAGGTTAGACTGTTCACAAGCTTGACTAGGTAGGAGGCCAGCCCACCAACAACCCAGGTGTGCCACCCTGGACAGGGACTTCTCCCCTTACCCTAGCCCTCTACTTCTCTCATCAAAGATGCTTTACCTTTGTATAGAACCCCACTGCTTACAATCCACATCTCATCAGATTCTCATGACCACCTTGTGGGTGAGGGGAAGCAGCTTCATCCTTCATCTCTCCATTTTACAGAGGTGTACACTGAGGTGCAGGTTATGCCAGCGAGTGGCAGACCTGGGACTCAAGTTTTTCAATTTCTGGGATTCCTGTACAAAGGCATCCTGCACAGAACAAATAATCTCCTTTAATTTAGCTTTTCTGTAAACCTAGATTTTCATGTATTGTATACTTAAAGGCCTTTGTACCACAGCACGTTGGCAAATACTGTGGAGTCTGAAGGGCAGGAGTATGGCTGTTTTCTATAATTTTAAATGTTAAAAATGGCTTTCATTAGAACAAAACTCAAGTATTTTCTTGCTTGCCTAACTCTAAAAGCACTTAACAAGTTTTATAAAATAATTTGGATCTAGGGCTGCATTAAACCGTGAGTATTTTTAGTCTTGGAGCAAATGTCTCAGAAAGCTCTGGGGAATGAAAAAGAGGGGTGTAGAAGAAAATGAACCTGTGGTCTCCCCATGCCACCCTGCCTTTCAGACAACTCTCCTGGCCATTGAATCATCAATATCACGATTTGCCACATTTCACCCACCACAGTAATGGCCACCAGTAAAGGAGGAGCCCGGTGGTCTACATGCTGAGGGCGGGGACCCACAGGATGATTTGATTTGAGTTTTATTTGCAGATTTCTCTCTGGGAAGATAGAGAGGAGACTGTTCCTCCCAGAGGAGAGAGCTGCATTCTTCAATTTCAGGGAAGCAGTGGGACATACTGAGAAACGCGAAGAAATCAGTCAGGAGACTGAGCTGCTAGTCTTCCTTTTAGCACTTAGTACTCTTGAGGTCTTGAGAAAACCATTCTTCTCTGTATCTCATTTTCTGTATCTCTGAAATGGGGATAATCATGTCTCCCTTGTAGGGTTGTTGAAAACTCTCAAATAATATATGTAAATCAATATATATGCTGTGCTTATCCAATGGTAGAGATTCAATGATGAGATACACGATTATTAGTAGAAATAGTAATAGTAGTACTTGTATTGTAATAATAGGAGGCATTTATGAAGTATTTTCTAGATTTGACTTCCCCTTCTATGAATATACAAAGATGCTCTCCCACTAAAACTCCAGCTGAAATCCTATTTCAGTGCGAAACCTCCCTGAGATGCCAGTCTGAAGCCATCACTTCCTCCTCAGTGTTCCTTGTCTGCATCTCTCATTAGAGAAAACATACCTACCAATATCATCCTTTCTATTCGCTGGACCTGGAGGCATCAGGATACACAGGAGGCATCAGTATGGTCCAGGCAGAGTGGGGAAAGATATTAGGACTTGAGTGCATGGGTAGTTGGGGGAATGGTGGGTGAGGGGTCAGGACATGAGGCCTGGCAAGGGCAGGTAAGTCCATAAAGCCAGCCTGAGACCAGGAGGCCAGTGGGAGGACAGAGAAAAGTCATGCTGGGAGGATCATAGTTGAGGGATCATGGAAAAGTCAAAGTCTGGCATTAAGGCTCTGTCTAGCTAGGGCAGTGGATCAGCCCATGTTCAAGTGGGCAGGTAGTTGGCACCAGGGACATATGGGCTACAATATTAGAACCCCAAATTCCGGCATGAGACATGGGAGGAAAGGGCACACAGACCCCTGTGAATTAGTAGGTCACCAGAATCACCTAGAGGATTTTCTCAAAATACAGATTCCCAGGCTCCAGCCACTGAGATTCTGAGATTCAGATGCACTGTCAGAAGAGATTACGGGCTTTCCTGCTGTGTGAGTGCCTGTGCTAGCCAGGTGATGTCTGAAGAAGGCTTCATCATAGCAGTGGCCTTGAAACTTAATTAGAGACTTCATAAGGGTTTACTAACAGGTGGGGGGTCTTCAAGGTCTTCATGAAACAGATGCTCAGAAACTGAATGTGATAAAACAAACACTTGGTAAAGAAAAAAATTAAAAAGCAAAGCAAATGACACCTTGAGGCTCAAGAAACCAAGGTCAGCTTACATAAAAAGAAAAAGGGAAGCAGCATCTTCCAAAGACAGCTTCATGTGCAAATGCAGTCATGAACCCTAGTTCTGTCTTCAGGCTGTCCTGCATCAGTGTTGCCCCCGCAGACAGACCCTCAAAGAATAGCAGTGTCTGTGTGACAGAGCCCAGTCAGTGCGGATGGGTAAGGTTTTGAATCATGCCCCTTGTTGATTCAATCTATTTTTAAGTGATTCTTCCTGCATTATGAGAGAAGTCTCAGCCTCTCCCCGAGAGAATGAGGGTAGAGCACAGTGAGGACACCAGTGTCAAGAGGCTTTGGTTTATCAAAAGCATTTATTTGTTCTCTTCCACAAAAATGTGGTTTCTGCAATGTGGTAACCTCTCTCTATTCTTCTGCCTTATGTCCAGAAAGTCAAGCCTGGCATAAATCTCCCAGGCAGGAAACCAATAGATTGTTCGCTAGAGAAACTGGAGAAACCAAGAGCGAACACCTACGAATATTGACTATTGCGATCCCACCAATGAAAAGGCCAGATCACCTTCGATCACCCTATGGTTCAGCTCACCAGACGGTATGTGCTGCCTAATCAGGACACAGCATTTGCAGTTGTTTTAGTGTCTTGTTCTTAGAAATACTCTTACAGCCATAGATGATTACAAATTTGAGAAAATCTTCCAAGCTGAAAGAGAACAAAGCAAAGAAACAAATCCAAAGAAAATGAGAGAATTCCATAAGGGTGTATGAAGGGAAAGATGCCATCTAACAATCAAAGAAATAGTATAAGAATAAAACTCCAAAAACACGGGATGTAGGGTTTCCAAATTGAAATTTGGAAAGATCAGAAAACCAGGTATAAAGAGATGTTTAAAAGCTTCCAGGGACAGGGGGAAACAGTAACAAGCTAAAGAAAATGATTACATTGATATCAGACTGCTTGGGGGCAGTAGTGGAAACCAGAGGACAATAAAACAATTTTTAGCAATTTATTATGTCTTGTGCATTTCTCAGTGTCTCAGGAGAATAGCACTGACTGCCCTTTGTCTGGACTACCTTTTCCAGCATGTTGGTATAATGAACAGCCTTGGAAGGTAGAAACAATGTTTCCCTCCAGAGTAAAAGGCAAGCATGCCCATCATAAAGGTTTGGGCTCCCTAAGCTCAGGGTTCCTTTCTTGTAATGCTACCCATTGTGTGGGTATGGCAACATTTGGCCCTGGTTAGGGGAATCTGTACAAACAATGCTGATATCCTGACTTCTCCCACTGCTGTGAGTATTAAACTGCCTTTATCTCTGATCCAGGTGTCTTGTGTCTTCTATCAGTCTCCATGAAACTGTGGCAGGCTAACTTGTTAGCTTATACATAGGGTGAAATCTCAGGACTCTTCATAGAACTTGACAACAATGCCTTCAGGATTCGGAAGAAAAATGATTTTCATCTTAGAATTTAATAAGGACATTTTTCAAATTCAAATGTTATACCTTTATAAAATCAAATTCAAAAAATTGACCTCTGATGCATGCATTCTTAGAAATGTACATGAGAATGTTGTATAGCAAACAAAAAAACAAAGAAATGAAAAAGAAGTAAGTTATGAAATAGGAAGATACATGGTTTTATGTTTCAGAAAAGAGGGAAACACAAATTAGAGATTGGAGAAGAAAATTCCTAGGATGTTTACTATGCAGCACATGTAGAAAGCAACTAATAACACTGGAACATTTGATCAGAGAGCCTCCTGAGTGAAGGCTCTTAAGGAAAAGAAAAAAAGGAAATGATGATTTGCTTGAGATTATGGAAAGTGTTATTATGACATGTTGGAAAATTTGGAGAAAAGCATGAAAGATAGAAAACTAGGGAAGCGAAAAAAATACTGAGGCTATTATTAATTCCAGGAAAAACAAAAGATTGTACAAGAAAGGAGGTTTATTGTAATTCACTATTTGGTTTAGCACATAAATGCTGATTATTGATTTTACCAAAAATTATTTTATAAACATGTCACAAGGATAAAAGGAGAAAAATGTGAGCAGTGGTGTGGAAAAACTAAGTCCTTATCTACCATGGCATGAAGTCAATAGATAATGTCTAAAACTCATATTTCAAGAAATAGCAGAATAATTTTTAAATTGTCGAGGTAAATGCCAGGGGCAGGACCTAGAAGTGTGAAGGATGGCTGTCTCTGGGGAAAGGGAGTCGTTGCGGAGTAGGGGATTTCTATATGTAAGCATCACTTCAAACAACTATTACCTTGATTAAAAAAAAAAAAATAGAAACTTGAGCTTTTTAAAGAGACCAAGCTAGCTGGCATGGCCCTTTAGTGGGTTGAATATCCTTTTATTCAATCAAACTGGCCAAAGTATTGTCATCTCACAACCTTAGCTTTTCTTGTCTTGATTGGAAAAGACAATTTGAAAAATATGTTACATCTTGAGCTTCTCAGTTACACTATATATAATATTATTCTCATGTTTTTTAAATTAGATTTTTCTAAAAGTGCAACTTTCTAGGCGAAAAGGAAAGAGAACAGGGGCCGAAAAGGAAAGAGAAGAGGGGCCTGGAATCTGTAGCTAAGTGGGTTCCAGCTCTGCCTGCCCCCTTACTTGCTGTGTGGCCTTTGATAAGTTATTGCACTTCTCTGAGCACTGTTTCTTGCCCTGTGGATCAGGATAACACCACCTTCCTCTCACAGCAGTTACAGGCAGGGTCTGAAGATCTTAGCTCACTGTAGCCTCAGTAGACCTGGTTACTTGCACTTAGTAGGTGTCCACTAATTATTGATTGGATTTGAGTAAATTAATAATGATTTCTAAAGTTGTTTTAAAAATGGAAGTAAGTAGTTGCTATAGTTTGGGGACAGGGCTGCATGAAGCTGCAGTTGGACTAGAGATCCTCTGTTCAAAGTTCTGTTCATGCTCAGTATTCTAGACCTTTTTTTCATTCTGCCACAGAAATACAGAATTCAAGGCAATATAGTTGGGCTGTTGAAGTTAGAAAGACTCGACAGAGAAGAGGCAGAGATCATCACACTTGTTTTTACAGGAATTGCTTGTTTTATAATGGAGAATTCCCAGCAGCTGAAGGGATGAAATCTTCAAGTCATGCCTCTGACATTGTAGCTTCTGGCTCTGAAAGCTGAACTACTTCCGGTGGTTGGAACACATCTGCCTGTGGCCAGCTCTGGTTGGCTATTACCCTGAAGCTGCCTTGGTCTGTATGTCTTGAAGCCAGCTGTTGCAGGGGAGGGTGGTGAGTGGTCATCCCTCTGGACTCTTAGCCTACGGCCCCCCATTCTTAGATGGCCAGCCCCCTCAGGGATCCCAGGGAACACTGAGGACAGTGGGAGAGTCCTCTCTGACCCCGCTCCCTCCAGGCAGCTTTGGAATGTTCCGAGGCTTCTGCTGGGTTTGTACTATCAGTTCCCCAGAGCAGCAGCACAGGAGCACCTGACTGTCCATTGGCAGAGGCTGGGTCTGAGAGTTTTTCATCAGCTTCATGACCCCACAGAAAGAGTTCTTGGTAGTTAGAATGCACTATAGCCTCTTTGTGCTATCCAAGTTGCAAGGACCTATTCTGGATAGAGAAATAATCTTGACCTGTTTGATTAGATATGGAAGCAGATGAAGGAGCAGCTGCATCTTGAAGACCTGGCTGGCTCTATTCAGGTTCAATTTGACAAGCACCTTTGAGAGCCAGACCCTGACAGAGGCAGTGGGGGGTCCCATTCTCTGAGGAGCTTACACACAGTAGGGGTGGGGGAACCGACACATGGACAGAGGACATGCAGGTAATGGAGTAAGTGTTAAGATGGGCTGTGCAGAGAGTCCCCTGGGAACACAGAAGGACACGGAGACACAAAGTGTTCCACAAGGACACAAGGGTGCTATGGGGACACAAAGGGGATGCCTGCCTCCCACAGCCCTCCTGCTGGGGGCACAGAAAGCAACTCCTTGAGCAGAGTTCCCCCTTCCTTTAGTCCAGTGTTCTTCTCCAACCTCTAAACAATTAGTGTAAAGTTCATAAAAATAATGCCTCAAGGATATTACAGTGAGGATTAATCACGCTACTCAAAGGTAGTGTGGGGAAGCAAATGTGGGCTCCTGTACTTAGAATTCTGCCCTTTCTTCCCCTTGTCCTGGCAGCCTCACAACTCAGCCCTCC
Source organism: Homo sapiens (assembly GCF_000001405.40). Lineage (NCBI taxonomy): Eukaryota > Metazoa > Chordata > Mammalia > Primates > Hominidae > Homo > Homo sapiens. The sequence continues at coordinate 30,895,678 of NC_000002.12, forward strand.
AATTCTCTGCAAAGCTTTTCCTTTCCCTGCTCTGTGCCCCTTGTTCTCAAGCAACCTCTGGGATAGCAGCGATCCCACCAAGCACATCCTCCCTCCCACCTTCTCTTTCCCTGCTCTCTCTCTCAAAGAAAACCTCCTCTCCCATGCTTGTTGTCCCTGAAGGCAAGGACTGGTGGCCACTTTCTGGCATAGTACCTGTTATATAGCAGGTGTCTGGTAAATATTTATTGCTCAGTGATTTACATATACATTTGGGGGGCTGATGCCACGTCAATTGGGAGGCATGGCCACTGAGAAGAGGCCCCCACTCTGCCATATATCACCTGGGCAACCTCGACCAGTTATTTAATTTCTCTGAGGCTCAACTTCCTCATCTGTAAAGCTGATGATAATATCTATCTGGAATACTGCTCGCAGTAAATAAAAGAGTGAACATAAAACACATAAACATAGCATTGGCATGTAATAGCAGCTCACGAAATGCTACATCCCCTCTCCCTTCCCTACCTAACAAATGACCCATGATGAATGACTCTGAGTCAGTGGGGTTAACCAGTTGTGAGTGATGTAGAACTACTCAGTTTTAAAAGTCAGCTCATGAAAGTGTTTTCCACAAGGGACTTCAACTGTATTTGTCACATTTTCTTTCTGATAAGAAGATGAGTTATTTGTTATTTTATCTTCAGTGTGAGAGGCAGCAGAGCCTAGAACCAGAACCCAGAACTCAAGAGTGGACTTCTTGGACTTGAATTTCACCTCTACTACAAGTTATGACTTTGGACAAGTTACTTAACCCGCTTGGTTCTCAAGTTACTCACTTCTAAGATGGAGACAATAAGAGTAGCTATTATTATATAGCTACTATTTTTATGTGCATTGACTAAGGTAAATTCCTTAAAACTCTAAGAACAATGCTGGGGACCAAGCAAGCACTGTATAAGTGGTTGCTACGCTACTAGTATTTCTCTTGTGTGTGTGTGTTTTGCAATTAAGAAATTAAGCCTGGTTATTGGATACTCAAATGGATCCATTAAGTATGGGTGCCATGAAGGAATTTACCCAGTAGGCTCAGCAGGATCTACTTGGCATGAAGGCCATTCTCTCACCTTGCTCCATCTTTCCCCCTCCCTCTTCTCCTCTGTCTCCCACATCCACCCCCACAATTGGAAAAATAGCCATTGTCTATTTTTTTTGCTCTGACTGTCAGTAACATAGTTCAGGTCTCACATCTCTGGAGTCTTTAACAGGCCCCGCCTTCTCCGAATCTTACCTGCAAAACACCTTCCTCCATGCTACTCAGTCAATCTTCCTCTTCTCACATCCTTCTTACAATGCTACGCCCTTGCTCCAAAGCCTTCAGTGGCTCACCGCTACTTTACTCGATTAAGTGCAGAATCCTCTGCCTTGCATTCAAGGTCCCCTTCCCAGCTTTACCTGCCCCCCACTTTTTTCCATGTCTCCTACACCACAGGCTTGTTGACTTGCTCTCCATTCTCTGAGAAAAGGCCTGCCCTTTCTTGTTTCTGTGCTTGTGCTCCCGTTGTTCTTACCTCCTAGGACGCAGCTGGGCCAGGTGTCCAGAGCAAGGGGACAGGAGGTAAAGGATCCAAAGCTCCAGTGGGTCTAAGACTCCTGCCCCCGGTTTGGCAAGATGAAGCAGACCCCACACCCCAAACAGATGCCCCCTGGGTAGGCAGTAGAAGCCCAGGCTGGACTCTGGCACATCTGGGGTAGCTCCCAAACTGAAAATCATGCAGGTGCCAGGCTGAAGAGAGGCAGAATTCAGGCGCGAGAGCTGAACTCGTGGGTCAGACCAGAAGTTTCTAACTAAGGGTAAGAAGCAGAGCTGGAGCTGGCGATATTCCCTAAATGTTGGTGAGAGGCACGGCCTCCCCATGAGAAGAAGGGAGCTTCTGGGGGTGCTGAGCCCCGCCTCCAGGTCCTTTTGTGGTGTCTCCTGCCGTTTTCTTCGGCAACGCACACACACTGCGCATGGCGTAGCTTCTCCACAGGGCTCAGCAGAGGAGGCCGGGACCCGTTTCCTGTGCAGAGGCGGGAAAGGAACACAGACCGCTGGGACTGCCTAAGAACTGCATGCAACTAAAGGGCGCAAACCAGCAGGGGACACCATTCCCAGAGCTGATCCTTACTGCCCTTTTCTGTTTACTTTCCCTCCTGATCTTAACCTGTTTGGGACAAATGAGCGGTGCTTGCAGGGTCTGAGTCTTCTCCAGGACTCCATGCCCCAGGCAACCCCACAGGGGAGTCTCAGCCTGGCCTCTAATGGACCTCTGAGGATTGAAGAGTGCAATGAACTGAAGGTTTTTGTCCCTCAAACTCATATGTTAAAATCCTAACTCCCAAGGTGAGGGTGTTAAGGAGTGCAGCCTTGGGGAGATGATTAGATCATGAGGGTGGAGCCCCTGTGAGTGGGATTAGTGCCCTTATAAAAGGGACCCCCAGAGAGTGAGCTCTCTCGTCCTCGTTTTGCCAAGTGAGGACACAGGGAGAAAGTGGGCCCTCATCAGACACTGAATGTGTAGGGACCTTAATCTTGGACTTCCCAGCCTCCACAACTATGAGAAATAAATGTTTCTTTGTTAAAACCACCCAGGGTATGACATGTTATAGCAGCTTGCACAGACTCAGACAAGGGGTCATCCCTCGACACTCACAGACCCTGCCCTCCGCTCTGGGACCTGATGTTTAATCCTCACGATGAACTACAAGGATGACAAACATTTCTGAGGACATATATAGGTGCCTGGCTCTGTACTGAGAACCTCATGAATCATTTCAATCAATCTCACGGTAAAATTATGAGACAGGTGTGATTATTAGCTCCTTCACAGAGGAGAAAAATTGAGTTCAGTCAAGTTAAGTAACTTGCTCTTAGTCACACAGCTGAGAACTAGAGGAGCCAGGGTTTGAACCTGTATTATCTACCACCAGAGCCCATAGAACTAGCCTTTATGCTTTAGTGGGGCATGTCAATCAAAGTGAAAGATAAGCTCAGGCTCACAGAAAGGCTTTTTGCTTTAATTCAGGGTAGGAGAGATGTTTCTGCCACTCAGTTGCTGGGGAGGGGTTGGCAGAGGGGGAGGCAAAGTGAGGGATCAAGAAGGGAAGGGGAATCGAGAGGCAACCTTGGAGGAGACTCTGGAGGCAAAGAAGAGGGAGCTCATCCTGGATGTCCTCAAACTCTTCCACTATTGGAGAAGAAAAGCTACTTTCAGTGAAACGAAAGGAATTTGGGGCCTGGGTAGAATGGAGGGGCGCTATTTTCTTGCTGTAGGGACAGGCCTGGGACATCTCTTGAGCTGAAGCGCAGGCTTGCAGAATAAAATAGAAGGCCAAGCCGAGCTCTGTTGCCACCCTCCATCTGCACACCTCAGTGCTATTAATGAGAACAGCTTTTGGAAAGAGCTTCATCTCTCTGTTGACTCCTATTTAGCATCTGGCTGTCAGGTCACACATGGTCACACTAAAAGCATCCTGCAAGATGAATGGAGGCGGGAACCCATTTTCCTTCCTTCATCCCAGGAATGGGTGAAGCTCCGTTGTTGAAGCTGCTTTGTCTTCCAGAGGGAAGGACCCACCACCCCCTCACCAATGGCAGCCCTTTGCCCCAGCACTGTGGCTGACCCAGGGAAGGCTCCGCTCTGGGAAGCTGGAATTTCTTGGAGGACCATCCAGCTGGCCATCTCTAGGGGCACTCACCGCTCCTTGCTGCATCTGGACAGTGAATTATTGCAGCCTGTTATCTTCAGTAGCAGGTGCAGGCATTCTGGGCTGCTCCTTCCTGCAGAGTGAGGCCAGGTAATATTTACTGGCTCAAATGAATAAGGTAACCAGCCCTGACACAGCATAGAAGATGCGTCTCTCACCCAAGGTTTTTTTTTTTTTCCTCCTTCTTTCTTCCTTCATTATGTTTGTAATTTTGTTTTATTATTTCCCATTGGAAAGCTGTGAAATGAAAATGATGCAATCTACTGCTGTGAAATAATGTCGTGCTCAAGTCCTTTTCCAATAAGCCCTGAGGTTTGCACTGTGACGGCTTCATTAAATTAGTCGGCTCCATGGCAAATGGAAAAGTGCTCAGAGCTTTGGAGTCTGCTAATCCGAGTTGGGCCGCCAGAGTCCACAGACCACGAGGGAGCTCGGGCGGTTAGCTCTGGATGATGCGGGAAAAGAGGCTCCCATCTGCCACGTGGGGCGTCGCAGAGGTCACGTCTGCACAGCTGCTAGGCTTTTCATATAACCCACAAAACTTCACCATACCCTTATGTGCCAGATGCTGTCCTGGGTGCTAAGAGAATGGATGGATTAGGGCAGGATGATGGCTCAGTGTGTGGAGTTGGGGAAACCAAGTCCACTTAACTCTATTACGGGTAACTTTACTATGGGTAAACTATGGTGGACCGCAGGTACAAGGTGGACCTCTCTTTGAAGGCCAGCCAGGACTCGGGTTGCCAGATGTGAGTGAATCTGCCTGAGATTCATGCAGATGAAATACAGGGCTTCCCCTCAACCCTTCCATCACCATCCCCCAGAGTTTATAAGAATAAATTCTGTCTTTTGGGGCTCTACTGAAGTGTTAAAGACTTCCATTACTGATAGTTCTTTCCAGTTAGCATTTTCAGTATTAAACTCTGTCATTATGAAGTAAAATATGCATGATCCCTAAATCTATGTGTATTACAACAAGATTTTTATTGTTATAAATTTGTCTTCTCGGTCCTCTGTTTCTGCTTTTGCTGTCTTTTTAAAACTTTAACGTTTGATAACTGTAGCCAGGAGGTAATTAGAAAGTGGTACTAAAGAATCACAGGCTTATTCTCTCACTCATTCATAGAAATTTATTGAGTGTCTACAATAAGATATGGTCCCACAGCCGGTGGGAAAGACAGCGGTGACAGCTAATTACAGCACTAAGGGATTTTGGTCTGAGCTGGCACAGGGAGCTCCCTTTCCCCCACATATATAAATATTGGATAAAACAATTTGAAATCACAGCTGCATTTGAAAGGAAAAAGGGAGAAATTCCAGATTCTAAAAACAAATGGGAATTCAGAGTCAGAGTCATGAATGAGCGCTGAAGGGGAATTGAAGCCAGATGCATATCGACGGGGCTGGGGCTTTAACACCCAGTCAGGGGCAGATGTGAAAATCACAGCCTCTTGGGTGGCAGAGGCCAGAAATGGGGCCCTACTATCGTTGTATGTTTAGAGAGCTAGACACACCCCATCCACCAGCTGGAGGAGTGGTGATGGCATGGAGCAGGACTAAAATTTTGGGTAGAAAAATGATAATCTGGGGAAGACCAAAATCCAAGCTTGTGCCAAGTAATAGAGGTGGGGTCCAAATTCTCATCACTCACAGTGTGGAAACAACCAACAGAGAAATCAATGTATAAGTCCATTTGGAGTCTATGAAACTCACTAGGACCCCGGCAGAGGCAAAGGCAAACCTTTCCTGAGGCATGCCTCCACAAGCGGGGCACCTGGGATACCTAGAGGAAGAAACTCCTGCTGAAAATGAGCTCACAGGGAGAAATTACAAAGTACAGAAGGAAACTGTGAGTGAGTCTCAGATCACTCAAGAGAGTGAGTCTCAGATCCAACATGGCACCAGTCTCAGCCACCCATATTGAGCTCAGTTTTACCTAAAAAATCCCATTTCTCCCCATTCACTCAACACCACCATGACTTCAACTCTAATCCACATAGTAGAGCATGCCTGCTATGCCTATATGTATACACACACACACAACATATATATATGCCAACATGTGTACACAAACACACAACATATATATAATAAATATATTCATATATATATAAATTCCCTTTCCTTTAATACATATATATGAGTATGTATATGCTCATATATGTGTGTATATATGTGAGTATATATATATGTGTGTGTATATATATAAATTCCATTTCCTTTAATACATATATGATTATATATATGCTCATATATGTGTATGTATATATGTGTGTATATATATGTGTGTGTGTGTATATATATACAAATTCCATTTCCTTTAATACACACATCACACCAATAAAACACTCAGATGTGCATACTGTTTCCACTACCAGATGCAACCTTGGGGGACGGGGCTTCTGCCACACCTGGCCACTTCCTCACCTGGCAGGATGGTGAGACTGCTCTAGGGTGATGATTCTCCAAGCATGGTTTGAGGTCTAAATCTTGTGAGCCTTTAAGATCCTTAGAGTGTGGGTCTTTTTTGTTGTCATAGGCTGATAGCATTTGACAAACTTTCACCTTCACCCACAGCTACTGGTGACCTACTAAGTGTGCTAGTCCAGGTTACTACCTTTTGGCATTCAAACTCAATATTCGGATTTGACTGAGGGCTCTCATTCAGCATCTACCAAAACATCAGACAGCCAGGGAAAGCTTGGCTACACACATTCTCTGCTGCACACCTGCAGGCAAAGGCATCCCTGGGGCTGGAGAATGTCACTATCCCATCCAGTGATTGTCAGCTTTGCCTCGAACTGGTGGAGGTTCAGAATGGCTGCTTTGCTCACTTTTAAATCCCCAACTCCTCTTGCTTTGGCTGCATCACCCTCAGGTTAGTGGCTAGAGAGCATTTGGATAACTCTGCACAGTTGTAGAGATTCCTATTTGCACCATCAGAGTTTTGAACCTCCATTTTCCACTAAGGAGGCTTTAAGACACAGGCACAGCAGCTCACATGAGAACCATCCCATCTCCTTTAGCAGACTACCCTCCACATCCTTTAAGGTGACTCTTCGTTATCACCCCAAGGGCTTTGGCTATAAGAGGGAGGCCAGGGGGACAACTAAGCCACATCAAAATAGGCTGAGATGAGGTGTGTTTGTCCCCCTGGGGCTGAGGCCTTTATTCCTTTGCCCCCATTCCTTTGGGTGTTTGAGAAACACCCAACACCACCTGCATTCTGTGACTTTATAAGGGTAGGAAAACATAAATAATGTCACTTGTCCCAGACAAGGAATAGTTTTTCAATCATCCATTTAGGAAAACGCCCACTGAGAGGCTGAAATGCCCAGCCCAGCAGTGGGGATAAAGAAGAGATAAGTTTCTTGCCACCAGGGAGCTCAAAGACAGGCACATACACTGAGGGCGACAGAGGACAGATGAGGACGATCCCAGGCTCTCTTATATTTACTTTAGTGCAGTACCTGTTTCACTACATAGGAGAGAGGTTGCTGGTGAACATGCCTGTTCTCATTCTTCTTTGCAGGCCTGGTTTCAACAGAGCCTGGACACAGAGCTTAGGAGCCATCAGAATGTCTTCTATAGATGGCTTGATTTACCCATGACCTCCCTTCTCTTTCCCAGTGTGGAGCAAAAGTGCTTCAACAAAAGAGCCACATCGTAACTATAGGAGGCCACAAGAGCATTGCAGAAACAAACAGATCCAACACCAGAGGAGCTTCTGGGGCTGCACACACTCGACTCTTTACTTTCCAAGTCTATAGCAGTCTGCGGTAATGGATTTTATAATGATGACCTTGAACTAATTCCCATCACTGAAGGGCTTTCTGGATGAAGGGGAAACAGATACCTGCTTAGAATATAACAGTTCCTGTGGTTGGCAGATTCTAAAATGGCTCCCAGCAATTGCTGCCTCCTGACATTAATTCTTTGAGTGCTGGCTACACCTGATGCCTTGCTTCTCTAAAATAAAATATGCCAAAAGCAAGGGCAAGTAATTTATAACTGAGATGAGTTTATAAAAGACTGTGACTTCCGTCTTGGTGGCACGCTTGCCATCCGGGCTTACTTGCCTGGGTGAAGCAAGCAGTGATGCTGGAGAGGCCCACATGGCAGGGGACTGAGGGCAGCCTCTGGCCAACAGCCTGCGAGGAACCAAATCCTGCCAACAACTGCTGAGTGAGCTTGGAACAGATCCTGCTCTAGTTGAACCTTGAGATGACTGTGACCCTGGCCAACGCTTTAATGGCAGCCTTGTAAGACACCCTGAAGCAGAGGATCTCACTAAGATATGCCTGTATCCTTGTCCCACAAAAGCCATATGGGAATAGATGTGTGTTGCTTTAGGCTGCTAAATTTCAGGGTCATTTGTTATGCAGCAGTGGATAACAAAGCCAATTACCAAAGAGCATGTAGGAAACTCACCTGGGCAGAGAAGGTATGGGCATATTTTGGGAACTTCATATGGATTGGTTCTTCTCTTAAACCCTAGTTAATAAGAATGGACAACCACCATAACCCATTCCTAGGGCACACCAGTAAGCTGGGGATTTATTAGAGTAAGAAACTTCTATGCTAAAGGCCACAGGCCATAAAGCCCTAGCAGCCAGAGAGATCATCCTAGGGTAATGTTTTTAAGCAAGGAGTGGTGTCAGAATCAGCTGAGATGTCTGGACCCAACCCCACACCTACTGAACCAGGATCTCCACAGGGAGCCTACAGCCTCCAAGTTAGACAATTCCCCAGAATATGGCAGGTGTGCATCATCAATAGAAACCCCTGATCTGGGGAGGAGCCAAGATGGCCGAATAGGAACAGCTCCCGTCTACAGCTCCCAGCGTGAGCGACGCAGAAGACGGTGATTTCTGCATTTCCATCTGAGGTACGGGGTTCATCTCTTTAGGAAGTGCCAGACAGTGGGCGCAGGTCAGTGGCTGCGTGCACTGTGTGCGAGCCGAAGCAGGGCGAGGCATTGCCTCACTTGGGAAGCGCAAGGGTTCAGGGAGTTCCCTTTCCGAGTCAAAGAAAGGGGTGACGGACGGCACCTGGAAAATCAGGTCACTCCCACCCGAATACTGCGCTTTTCCGACGGGCTTAAAAAATGGCACACCACGAGATTATATCCCACACCTGGCTTGGAGGGTCCTATGCCCACGGAGTCTCGCTGACTGCTAGCACAGCAGTCTGAGATCAAACTGCAAGGCAGCAGCGAGGCTGGGGGAGGGGCGCCCGCCATTGCCCAGGCTTGATTAGGTAAACAAAGCAGCCAGGAAGCTCGAACTGGGCGGAGCCCACCACAGCTCAAGGAGGCCTGTCTGCCTCTGTAGGCTCCACCTCTGGGAGCAGGGCACAGACAAACAAAAAGACAGCAGTAACCTCTGCAGACTTAAATGTCCCTGTCTGACAGCTTTGAAGAGAGCAGTGGTTCTCCCAGCACGCAGCTGGAGATCTGAGAACGGGCAGACTGCCTCCTCAAGTGGGTCCCTGACCCCTGACCCCTGAGCAGCCTAACTGGGAGGCACCCCCCAGCAGGGGCACACTGACACCTCACACGGCAGGGTATTCCAACAGACCTGCAGCTGAGGGTCCTGTCTGTTAGAAGGAAAACTAACAAACAGAAAGGACATCCACACCAAAAACCCATCTGTACAACATCATCATCAAAGACCAAAAGTAAATAAAACCACAAAGATGGGGAAAAAACAGAACAGAAAAACTGGAAACTCTAAAAAGCAGAGCGCCTCTCCTCCTCCAAAGGAACGCAGTTCCTCACCAGCAACAGAACAAAGCTGGATGGAGAATGACTTTGACGAGCTGAGAGAAGAAGCCTTCAGACGATCAAATTACTCTGAGCTACGGGAGGACATTCAAACCAAAGGCAAAGAAGTGGAAAACTTTGAAAAAAATTTAGAAGAATGTATAACTAGAATAACCAATACAGAGAAGTGCTTAAAGGAGCTGATGGAGCTGAAAACCAAGGCTCGAGAACTACGTGAAGAATGCAGAAGCCTCAGGAGCCGATGCGATCAACTGGAAGAAAGGGTATCAGCGATGGAAAATGAAATGAATGAAATGAAGCGAGACGGCAAGTTTAGAGAAAAAAGAATAAAAAGAAATGAGCAAAGCCTCCAAGAAATATGGGACTATGTGAAAAGACCAAATCTATGTCTGATTGGTGTACCTGAAAGTGACAGGGAGAATGGAACCAAGTTGGAAAACACTCTGCAGGATATTATCCAGGAGAACTTCCCCAATCTAGCAAGGCAGGCCAACGTTCAGATTCAGGAAATACAGAGAACGCCACAAAGATACTCCTCGAGAAGAGCAACTCCAAGACACATAATTGTCAGATTCACCAAAGTTGAAATGAAGGAAAAAATGTTAAGGGCAGCCAGAGAGAAAGGTCGGGTTACCCTCAAAGGGAAGCCCATCAGACTAACAGCGGATCTCTCGGCAGAAACCCTACAAGCCAGAAGAGAGTCAGGGCCAATATTCAACATTCTTAAAGAAAAGAATTTTCAACCCAGAATTTCATATCCAGCCAAACTAAGCTTCATAAGCGAAGGAGAAATAAAATACTTTACAGACAAGCAAATGCTGAGAGATTTTGTCACCACCAGGCCTGCCCTAAAAGAGCTCCTGAAGGAAGCACTAAACATGGAAAGGAACAACCAGTACCAGCCGCTGCAAAATCATGCCAAAATGTAAAGACCATCGAGACTAGGAAGAAACTGCATCAACTAACGAGCAAAATAACCAGCTAACATCATAATGACAGGATCAAATTCACACATAACAATATTAACTTTAAATGTAAATGGACTAAATGCTCCAATTAAAAGACACAGACTGGCAAATTGGAGAGTCAAGACCCATCAGTGTGCTGTATTCAGGAAACCCATCTCACGTGCAGAGACACACATAAGCTCAAAATAAAAGGATGGAGGAAGATCTACCAAGCAAATGGAAAACAAAAAAAAGGCAGGGGTTGCAATCCTAGTCTCTGATAAAACAGACTTTAAACCAACAAAGATCAAAAGAGACAAAGAAGGCCATTACATAATGGTAAAGGGATCAATTCAACAAGAAGAGCTAACTATCCTAAATATATATGCACCCAATACAGGAGCACCAAGATTCATAAAGCAAGTCCTGAGTGACCTACAAAGAGACTTAGACTCCCACACATTAATAATGGGAGACTTTAACACCCCACTGTCAACATTAGACAGATCAACGAGACAGAAAGTCAACAAGGATACCCAGGAATTAAACTCAGCTCTGCACCAAGCGGACCTAATAAACATCTACAGAACTCTCCACCCCAAATCAACAGAATATACATTTTTTTCAGCACCACACCACACCTAGTCCAAAATTGACCACATACTTGGAAGCAAAGCTCTCCTCAGCAGATGTAAAAGAACAGAAATTATAACAAACTATCTCTCAGACCACAGTGCAATCAAACTAGAACTCAGGATTAAGAATCTCACTCAAAACCACGCAACTACATGGAAACTGAACAACCTGCTCCTGAATGACTACTGGGTACATAATGAAATGAAGGCCGAAATAAAGATGTTCTTTGAAACCAATGAGAACAAAGACACAACACACCAGAATCTCTGGGACACATTCAAAGCAGTGTGTAGAGGGAAATTTATAGCACTAAATGCCCACAAGAGAAAGCAGGAAAGATCCAAAATTGACACCCTAACATCACAATTAAAAGAACTAGAAAAGCAAGAACAAACACATTCAAAAGCTAGCAGAAGGCAAGAAATAACTAAGATCGGAGCAGAACTGAAGGAAATAGAGACACAAAAAACCCTTCAAAAAAGTAATGATTCCAGGAGCTGGTTTTTTGAAAGGATCAACAAAATTGATAGACCGCTAGCAAGACTAATAAAGAAAAAAAGAGAGAAGAATCTAATAGACGCAATAAAAAATGATAAAGGGGATATCACCACCGATCCCACAGAAATACAAACTACCATCAGAGAATACTACAAAGAACTCTACGCCAATAAACTAGAAAATCTAGAAGAAATGGATAAATTCCTCGACACATACACTCTCCCAAGACTAAACCAGGAAGAAGTTGAATCTCGGAATAGACCAATAACAGGATCTGAAACTGTGGCAATAATCAATAGCTTACCAACCAAAAAGAGTCCAGGACCAGATGGATTCACACCTGAATTCTACCAGAGGTACAAGGAGGAACTGGTACCATTCCTTCTGAAACTATTCCAATCAATAGAAAAAGAGGGAATCCTCCCTAACTCATTTTATGAGGCCAGCATCATTCTGATACCAAAGCCAGGCAGAGACACAACAAAAAAAGAGAATTTTAGACCAATATCCTTGATGAACATTGATGCAAAAATCCTCAATAAAATACTGACAAAACGAATCCAGCAGCACATCAAAAAGCTTATCCACCATGATCAAGTGGGCTTCATCCCTGGGATGCAAGGCTGGTTCAATATACGCAAATCAATAAATGTAATCCAGCATATAAACAGAGCCAAAGACAAAAACCACATGATTATCTCAATAGATGCAGAAAAAGCCTTTGACAAAATTCAACAACCCTTCATGCTAAAAACTCTCAATAAATTAGGTATTGATGGGATGTATTTCAAAATAATAAGAGCTATCTATGACAAACCCACAGCCAATATCATACTGAATGGGCAAAAACTGGAAGCATTCCCTTTGAAAACTGGCACAAGACAGGGATGCCCTCTCTCACCACTCCTATTCAACATAGTGTTGGAAGTTCTGGCCAGGGCAATCAGGCAGGAGAAGGAAATAAAGGGTATTCAATTAGGAAAGGAGAAAGTCAAATTGTCCCTGTTTGCAGATGACATGATTGTATATCTAGAAAACCCCATTGTCTCAGCCCAAAATCTTAAGCTGATAAGCAACTTCAGCAAAGTCTCAGGATACAAAATCAATGTACAAAAATCACAAGCATTCTTATACACCAATAACAGACAAACAGAGAGCCAAATCATGAGTGAACTCCCATTCACAATTGCTTCAAAGAGAATAAAATACCTAGGAATCCAACTTACAAGGGATGTGAAGGACCTCTTCAAGGAGAACTACAAACCACTGCTCAAGGAAATAAAAGAGGATATAAACAAATGGAAGAACATTCCATGCTCATGGGTAGGAAGAATCAATATCATGAAAATGGCCATACTGCCCAAGGTAATTTACAGATTCAATGCCATCCCCATCAAGCTACCAATGACTTTCTTCACAGAATTGGAAAAAACTACTTTAAAGTTCATATGGAACCAGAAAAGAGCCCGCATCGCCAAGTCAATCCTAAGCCAAAAGAACAAAGCTGGAGGCATCACGCTACCTGACTTCAAACTATACTACAAGGCTACAGTAACCAAAACAGCACGGTACTGGTACCAAAACAGAGATATAGATCAATGGAACAGAACAGAGCCCTCAGAAATAACGCCGCATATCTACAACTATCTGATCTTTGACAAACCTGAGAAAAACAAGCAATGGGGAAAGGATTTGCTATTTAATAAATGGTGCTGGGAAAACTGGCTAGCCATATGTAGAAAGCTGAAACTGGATCCCTTCCTTACACCTTATACAAAATTCAATTCAAGATGGATTAAAGACTTAAATGTTAGACCTAAAACCATAAAAACCCTAGAAGAAAACCTAGGCATTACCATTCAGGACATAGGCACGGGCAAGGACTTCATGTCTAAAACACCAAAAGCAATGGCAACAAAAGCCAAAATTGACAAATGGGATCTAATTAAACTAAAGAGCTTCTGCACAGCAAAAGAAACTACCATCAGAGTGAACAGGCAACCTACAAAATGGGAGAAAATTTTCGCAACCTACTCATCTGACAAAGGGCTAATATCCAGAATCTACAATGAACTCAGACAAATTTACAAGAAAAAAACAAACAACCCCATCAAAAAGTGGGCGAAGGACATGAACAGACACTTCTCAAAAGAAGACATTTATGCAGCCAACAGACACATGAAAAAATGCTCATCATCACTGGCCATCAGAGAAATGCAAATCAAAACCACAATGAGATACCATCTCACACCAGTTAGAATGGCAATCATTAAAAAGTCAGGAAACAACAGGTGCTGGAGAGGATGTGGAGAAATAGGAACACTTTTACACTGTTGGTGGGACTGTAAACTAGTTCAACTATTGTGGAAGTCAGTGTGGCGATTCCTCAGGGATCTAGAACTGGAAATACCATTTGACCCAGCCATCCCATTACTGGGTATATACCCAAAGGACTATAAATCATGCTGCTATAAAGACACATGCACATGTATGTTTATTGCAGCATGATTCACAATAGCAAAGACTTGCAACCAACCCAAATGTCCAACAATGATAGACTGGATTAAGAAAATGTGGCACATATACACCATGGAATACTATGCAGCCATAAAAAATGATGAGTGCATGTCCTTTGTAGGGACATGGATGAAATTGGAAAACATCATTCTCAGTAAACTATCGCAAGAACAAAAAACCAAACACCACATATTCTCACTCACAGGTGGGAATTAAACAATGAGATCACATGGACACAGGAAGGGGAATATCACACTCTGGGGACTGTTGAGGGGTGGGGGGAGGGGGGAGGGATAGCAGTGGGAGATATACCTAATGCTAGATGACGAGTTAGTGGGTGCAGTGCACCAGCATGGCACATGTATACATATGTAACTAACCTGCACAATGTGCACATGTACCCTAAAACTTAAAGTATAATAATAAAAAAAAAAAGAAACCCCTGATCTGGTCCCACTCTCCTAATTTGACATAACAGGAAATGGTGGGTCAAAGAAGTTACATGTCATTTTAAGATCCCACAGCTAGTTGGTGGCAGCCCAGGATAAGGGCACAGGTCTCCCATCTCCCTGTCTTCTTTGTCCACTCTGCCACAGGTGCCCCCCACCCCATGCCCCTATTCCGTGAAGAGCTCAGCTTAGCCCTGAGCCAACAAAAGAAGAAAAGAGCAAGAGATGTCCAGAGACAACTTCTAAGTTTCTCTTTATTTCTTTTGGAAACAACCTCCATTCTTCATCTCTCAATGTAGTCCTGGCCTAGTGAAAAAGAAGGCTTTTCTTTCTGGCCTCCAGAGACTGCTTCCTTTGTAGGAAAAGGAACAATAAACACTTCCCATTAGGTTTCTGTCTCCAGATACCAATCAGGGAATGACTGGCCAGGACTGGAACTTAACGGCCTTGAGAACATGTGGGATTTGTCTTTGAGCCCCATTGGCTTGTGATGTTTTCCTCTGTCCTCCCTGAGACAGTTGCTCCTGTCCTGGGGGGCTCTGCCTCCACCTCCCAGTCCAGGATGTCTGAGGTGGTTGCAGGCTGCTTGCTGCCCAGTTTCCAGTCTGTTCTGGTCCAGGGAAGCACCACCCCATGGCCCTTGCTGCTTCTGGCAGGGGTCCTCAAGAGCTCACCATGTCCCAGTGCTGGCTCATGAGTGAGGACTCACATGGGTTGACGACGATTTCCTTGCCGTTCTCGGTGCCATCACCGAACATATCTGTATCGAGGCAGAGGTGGGATGCTATGTGCTCGATGTGGGAACCAGTTTTGGTCCATTGCTGGTAAGACAAAGAAGAGAGTGAATGAACTAGGTGCCATCAGTAACATGGGAGTTCCAGCTTTATCAGAAAGGTAGGTGCCTCATGTCTAGGGTCACTGAGAGACTTGATTTCATGGTTTCATAAGCACTAAAACTGCAACTAATTGCTCTACCAGGTATTATTGTTGGTTTCTTTTTTTAAATTGGATTAAAAAAAGTTAAAAGCAAAATCAATATGTTTACTAGGAAAACTCATTAGGAGGCAATAACTTTCCAAGCAGTAGCCCAGAAAACATGAAGCGAGTTAGTCACAGGAGCAACCTAAGAAACGATCCACACTCAGCATCTGCACGATGGCAGAGAAGTGGGGAAGAGCTGGGAGCAGCGAGTGTGATGGCAGGAGGGGCTGGGGGCTTCTTCAAAATGTGTCAGCACACGACGGGCCAGAGCAGAGAGGCAGGTCTCATGCAGCAGGTTCTCACACTTGACCTCGCATGACAAAGGAGGGACTGGACACATCAGGGGAAGCACCCCGGAGAGGGCACTGAGCACGTTACTGCCAAGAGACAGTCACAGCTGCCCTGTGTAGTGGACATTCTCAACCCCATTTCAGAGAGGAGGAAATGGACATCCAGAGAGGTCCAATAACCTGCCATGGGTCACACAGCCTGTAAACCATAAAACAGGCATTTGAATCTTGTTCTCTCTAACACCAATACCCAGTTGGCAAGAAACTGAATGGAGACATCACTTTGCTGCTAGAGGAACTGGGCATGTGGTGCATCCAGAATGCTAGGAAGTTTGGGGGACATACTGCCAGAGCCCAGGGCCCTGAAGGCAAGGGTCAAGTCTTGCTCATCCTTGTGACCCTGAGATCCTTGTTTGGGATCCCACGTGGGGAACAGAGCAATGACAGGAAAGTAGAAGATGACTGGGCATGGTGTGGTCAGTGGAAATCAATAGGCTTTCATGGGGCAGGCTGACCAGTGAGGGTGGATGTTGCCATTGCTGCTAGCATCACAGAGGGGATCCCAGGCAGCACTTTCCCTCCCTCTCCTGACCTCTCTTATCAACTCTTCCTCTTCTAACAATTTCTCTCTTTTCCTGCTCATCAGACTAAGCCCTCAACAGGCAGTCACATTACGGAGTTGGCCACATCCCAGGGACCTGCTGAGCACTTACCTGTCGGTCATCTCCATTCTTGCAAAGGACAAGAACCACTGGGGCGCCAGGGAACAAGGTGATGACTGACAGGCACAGCTCCTCCTGGAGGATCTGCTGGGTGTATGTGAAGGCCCATACCTGGGGAGAAAGAGACCAGGAAGGTTTGTTCAGGATCCAGGAAGCCACCACTCGTGGGATACAACCACACTTACGGGTGTGATTAGCACAGGCTGGTAAGAAGCACCAAGGGTCCCAGTAGGCAATGATCATCAAGGTTACCTTGGAAAATGCTACTCAAGTGCCAGAGACTCGGAGGTCATATCTCCATGGAAATCTCCATCCACCCCATGAAGGGGCCTGGGCCTGGGCCATTCAGGCTGCCTCTGGGAGTCCTGAACAATTCTGGGCTTTGGGCAGGAGTCTGAACAACAACCCCAGCTGAGCTGTGTGCTCCACAGTTTTTGTTTGGAGAAAACATCTCGAGGGGGTCTGTTCCCAGCACTTGACATTTCAAGCAGCCATCTAGCAGGTCAACTCCCCACCCCTCCATACCAGATATCTTTAGACTCTCCCCTGTTCTTTGAAAGGCAGTCCAAGTCAGTGTCCAGAGCACATGAGACTAGAGCACATGAGAGTTATGACAAGAGGCAGATGGAAGGATAAATGGAACAAGTGTTCCAAGGGAATGAATAAAGAAGGGTCTAGGGAAAGAAGAATGTTATGAGGATTCAAATTATTTCAGGAGGGTGCATGTGCCAGGATAATAGATCTTTTGGCCCCTGAGCTCTTTCAGGGAGCGAAGCTGAGAAATTGGATTGACAAGCAGAGTTCTGTTGGCATCAGGAAGAAGGGCATGCTGTGTCATTCATTATGAGGAATGATTCCAACATTTTTCCTCCAAAGTACCAGAGATCACAGAGTAACTGGATTATGAAGCCACAAGCACTTCCCAGTTCTTAAGTCAGTGGGGCAGAAAGTACTGGCATAAGCGTTTTCTCCCCCAGGTTGTAAAATAAGGTAATATTTACCCTTTGCCTCCGTCTGGGGGCAAAGATGATTCCTGAATTGGGTCCCCTGGGGAAGCTGCGGAGGATCCTTTGAGGGCTGTATCTGTTTCCACCACATCCCTGAAACAAGTTGACCCTGAGCCTCTGGACCAGGTTACTCATTGGCTACTTCCCCTTGGCCCAAGAATGAAAAAGTCCACTTAGCAGGCCAGCCTCCTACTCTAGGACAAGGTGTCCCCCAGGCAGACATGGTGGTCATCTGTCTCTCGTTCTCCATCTTCCCTCCTGGTCCCTGGTCCTCTCCTGACCTCCATGGGCTGCTGAAAGCTTTAATTGTTTTCTGGGACCTGGGTGGTTCGGAGGAACCACTCCCACAGGCTCAGGACCTTCTGCTGTCCTGAATACGTCCACCTTGAGTCAACCTGACTTGCTGTACAATGACGCCTGGCTCTCTTGATCTGGGACTCACCGGCCTAGTGGGAGAATGGCTCCTGCATTAGGATTCTTTTATCCCTTTTCAAACTGTTGGTGTTGGGAGAAGACCTAGATCAGAAAGTACTCCCTGGGGAGAGATGCAAATATAGATGAAACAAGACTGTCCTTGAGTCTTGTTCTTAACAGCAGGGCAATGGGTACATGGGCGTTCTTTATACTATTCGACTTCTGTATCTATAGATATTTGAAATTTTCTATAATAAAAAGTCATGAGATACATTCCTTGGGACATATCAAGAAGTTCTTCTCTGGCCTTGTGACCATCACATTCTACACATCCCATTTGCCTTTCTCCAAGATAAGCTGAAAGGGGAAACAAGTCTGTCCGCACAGAGGTGGTGCAATGACCAGGCTGCTGCTGCTGCTGCTGCTAATAAGAGCTGACATTTATTGAGCGCTTATGATGTGCCCAGCATTATCCTGACAACTTTACACAGATTGATTAATTTTCATAAGAATCCTATTAAGTAGGTATTACTATTATCCTCATTTTATAGATGATGAAACCAAGGCTCGGAGAGGCTATCCAAAGTCATACACCAGCAAGTGGCCCCCACACCAACTTTCTCCAGCAGCTCTGCTCTTGTTGATGCTGGAGAGTTAGGGCCGGCTCTGAGCTCTTTTAGATAACCTTAATCCGGGGAGAAGACACCTGCCCCTGAGATTCTTCTTCCAGGTTGTAGACATTAAAACCAAAGATCAGCTCCACCTTGACAGGGGAGAGTGGCAAGAGATTCTTCTTCTTGGCCAGTTCCCAATGACAACCTTTATGAAAAGATGAACAAAGGTTGTACCCCCTTGCCAAGGTCTGGGGTGGGGCAGGCCAGAGAATAGTGCCCTCTCTAATAGAGTAATTCGGCCATGAGTATGAATGGAGGCCCACACTCCTGATTCTACACCAAACCATAGGATACACACAGTGCTGGCTTCTAGCCTGAGCCGCCCCGCCTTTTTCTTCCCCTACCTTGGCTGCATATCCAAGCTGAGTCATTCCCCTCTAAATGGTCTCCCTTGGACCTGGGGATGTGTACTAGAGACACAGTCCACCCTCGGAGGACAAACCCAGGGATGAGACCCACGCAGGGTTTTGAATTAGGCTGGGGCCATTTGGGTGGGGGATTCTGAAGTCCTAAATATCCAGAATGTGATCTAGAAGGTGGGCCTAGAATATTCCTTGGCCTGTGGGGAGGAGAGAGAAGGGCCAAAAGGTCAAATGCAACAGCTGGACTACCAGGAAGCCATATGCCCTGAGATCAGTACAAGGGAAAGACTAAGTTCATTCCTTCTGACCCATTACCTGACTATAGAGTCTGTAGGGAACCACAAATTAGTATTTCAAAAATGAATCCTGCCATTATCTTACAATCACCATCATACAATGACATTGTGTTTTTTGTGTTAAAAGCATTAACTGATTAAATATAAAAGCCTCTTTTGAGAGCCCACTTTGGCATTTCTTCTTTTTTAATATCCTAGGGGTCCCAAAACTGGAAGTGCTGGATGGGTGGGTGGGTGGGCAGTTATTTTGACATCCTCTACCCTTGTTGTCCACAGATGCCTTTCAGGAAGAAATGCATTTGGGCATCTGGTGTGTCCCCAGGCCGGGACTTGATGAAAACATCTCAAAGACCCCCAAGGAGAATGTGTGAACAGGCACAGCTAATGAAGCCCTCATGCTAAGTGGACTTTCCATTAGCTGGTATTTCCTGGCATTTCAATAACTTAGCCTCGTCATGTCCCAGAGGAAGGCTGATGTCTGGCCACATCTGAAAGAGGAGAGGAGGGAGGAGAAGCAGGAAACAGGAGCATACAGGTGGGAAGCAAGGAGAGCATTTTCGGATTTCCATTCTGCAGCCTGTCAGACTTCCCAGAAGGGCCATGATGAATGAGTTTATTAAAAGAATCCTGCAGTCAGAAACAGACTCCAGGAAGGCAGCAGAGGTTGCTCAGCAGGTCTGGCCTGGATTCGCTGAGTGCTGGGCCCTCTGCTGGTGGCTTCGTTTGGGGGCCTGGCAAAAGCCTAGCCCATGATGGAGGTCCTGTGGCAGGCCAGGTCTCCCTAACAGCTGAACAGGCAGGCCTCTAAGACAACTTTCAGCCCTGACTGAGTGGGTAAGTTAAATGTTAAAGGCTGAAAGGGCCAGTGCCCTTTTACAAAAGCTTATATGTAACAAAAGCCCACCAAGAGTTTGTCTAGGCTTTTCCTGGGCCTTGAAGCATGACAAGATAATGAAGGAATTCTTAACAGGACCTGTTTAGGATTAAACAAGTTTTATCAGGGGTCTGAAGAAACTCCCCAGACCTCCACAAACAAGTTTTATTGGGGTCTGAAGGAACTCCCCAAACCTCCATGATTTAGCAGGAGACAAGATAAGAGTAATCACCCCAGCACCTGGACCCATCTAGATTAAGTAAATTTACTGAGGCTCCAGGAGAAGGTCTTCAGGACTCAGACCTTAGTTATAGATTAGAAGAAGTTAATCACTTATGTCTTTAGATGAATGCACACTCACACGTAGACAAACAGCTTAGAAGGTATATAAGCTCTGAAAAACTTTGTAATTTTGAGTTGGTCTGGTGATAATTTCCAGGTTTTCTCTCTGTGCCCGGTTACAGAAATAAACTCTCTTCTTTCCCAGTTCATCTGCATCTCATTATTGGGCCATGAGAATAAGCAGCTCAACCCTCGGTTTGGTCCGGGAACCGTCCCTCCTATCCCAAAGCTGTAGCCATGGAAGGGCAACCCAGAGACTGTCCTTAGTTGGTGTGGGTGACCCTGCCCCCTCCACTGGGATAGGCCAGCTGGGGGCTGAGGAGGAGGGGAGTCACCAATGAATGAGGAGGGGATCGACTGGGTCAGACAGCCTTAAAACCTTCTGTGCTTGGAGGACACGTCTGGAGATGGCCACTGCTGGTGGGAGCAGGGAGGGGACAGGCAGGGGTCAGTAACCTTCTCTAGCAGATGCCAGTCTGGCCATAGCTGTGGAAGCTGGGATGCAGACGGGCCACAGCACCCAGCCTGGGGCTTGTGGTCTTGCACAGGATGGCGAAGCAGGGATGAAAGATTGTCTTAAGAGGTAACTAAAAGAGGGTCAGGCGCGGTGGCTCTTGCCTGTAATCCCAGCACTTTGGGAGGCTGAGATGGGTGGATCACGAGGTCAGGAGTTTGAGACCAGCCTGGCCAATATGGTGAAACCCCATCTCTACCAAATATACAAAAATTAGCCAGGTGTGGTGGCACATGCCTGTAATCCCAGCTACTCAGGAGGCTGAAGAAGGAGAATTGCTGGAGCCTGGGAGACAGAGGTTGCAGTGAGCTGAGATCATGCCATTGCACTCCAGCCTGGGCAAAAGAGTAAGACTCCGTCTCAAAAAAAAAAAAAAAAAAAAAAAAAAAAAGAGGCAGGAGTGAGGACGAGCCTGGGCCCAGGCAGAGGAGCTGCTCTTGGAATGGCCCAGGGCCCCTGCCTCTGGTAGGCAAGAAACAATCAGCCTGGAGCAGCGGCTCTCGACTCTCCCCACTCAGCGGACCTCTGGCAGTGTCTGCAGACATTTTTGGTTCTATGGCTGGGTGAAGGAGTGTTTCTAGCCACCAGTGGGTGGGGTCATGGATGCTGCTAAACATCCCATGCTGCACAGGACAACCCCTCAACAAAGAAGGATCTGGCCCTATTACCAGTAGTGCTGAGGGTTAGAAGCCCTAGTCTCACCTGAAGGGCTTGGGCTCTGCAGGTGGCAGGCCTGTATCTGAACCATGCCCTGGCATTACTCACATACCACCTGGGCAGTCTCTCCAAGCCTCCCTTACCCCATCTGTCAATACTCTCTCCAGGAGGGGTGACACCACCAGGCATGGGCAGGACAGCACTGCTGGTTTTGTTGTAGTTAGACAGCCAAAGTGACAACTGCTTGTAAGAGACTCTTTCAAGGGCCAGGCCTGGTGCTAGTTGCTTCACATTCATTGTCTATTTAATTCTCATAACCACTACGGTTCCCGTTTTGTAGAAGAGGAAACTGAGGATCAAAGGGGCCAATGGTTACTCTGGCAATGCCAGAAGCAGACCCCAGGGTTGATTCTGAACTTGGCCTCTCCTTGGTGAGGTGAGACCTGAGCCAAGTATCCAGGGCCTTGAACATCTTAGTCCATACTGGGTACCTCCACGGTCCCTGAGACATAGCCTTGAAGCTCTCCCTTCAAACAAGGCATCTAGAATGGATGAGCCTGAATTCAAATGAACTGCCCTCGTGATGCCTCTGGCTCTCTGAAGCATCAGCTGCAGTGATTGTACCAACTGTGACAACAGCACAAGTGAGCTGATGGCTGTGCTGGGGTCTGCCTCAGTCCCTCCCTGGTGGAGGCTTTTTCTCCAGAGGCAGCAGGATGACCTGGTGGGCTCCTAGACACACCTCCTTCCATTGGAAACTTTGATGAACCCACTTTTGGGGTCTTTTCTTTATTTCCAGCCCATTCTGTCCTTTCCTCCCATGTGGCAAGATTACACTTATATGTGTGATTAAAGCCCACACTCAGTACATCTTCGCTGGGTCATGTTGTTGGATCCTGGGGTGATACCAGGGCTAGAATCCCCACAGAGCTGCCTATTAACCTGTGAATTTGAGCGAGTTACTCAACTCTGTACCACAGTTCCCTTGCATGTAAAATGAGGATGACATCAGTCTCTAAGAGGGTCACTGCAAGGAACAAATGGGTTAATACCTATCCCAGAGTGGTGCTTTCCATTAGCAAATGCTCAATTGCTGTCTGCTGTGTTCACGATGGTGACCAGGGGGAGCCAACAAGAAGAGAGAGGACCTTACAGACCTTCCTTTGGAATCCTGCCCAGGAGCTATACTGGAGGCAGGGATGGAGCCATTCCCAAGACTGTGTTGACAAAGCACAGGAAGGAAGGGTGGCATCGGGCAGGGAGGGTGGCATTGGGCAGGGAGGATGGCATCGGGCAGGGAGGGTGGCATCAGGCAGGGAGGATGGCATCGGGCAGGGAGGGTGGCATCGGGCAGGGAGGGGGGTATCAGGCAGGGAGGGTGGCATCAGGCAGGGAGGGTGGCATCGGGCAGGGAGGGTGGCATTGGGCAGGGAGGGTGGTGTGTGGGCTGGGAGGGTGGCATCGGGCAGGGAAGGTGGCATCAGGCGGGGAAGGTGGCATCAGGCAGGGAGGGTGGCATCGGGCAGGGAGGGTGGTGTGCAGGCAGCCTGTCCCACCGGCAGACTCAGGCTCACACACCTCGAGGCACCAGTGCCAGTCCAGATTAGGGGGAGACTTTATCTTCACCTGCCCACCCAGGGTACCCACCTTGCATGCTCCACAGCCAGTAGCCCACACACTGGGAGACAGGTAAAAGGACGAGCTAAAAATATATCTTATGTTTTTCCCCTTTCTTTAAATTGGGATGGAAACTAGATTGGTGCACCTGTATTCTTTCTACCTTTCACAAATATTTTTCTAGAGTCCAATAAAGTTAAGAGGAAACTTGTTAACCTTCTCGGGCTTCACATGTTTACAAACGGATGATGTATTTCTCTCGCATTTCACCTAAGGCATCAGTTTTCTGACATCTTCAATACACACTCAGATTAAATATTTTGCTCCCAAGGTTGACAAGTCAGCCAAGAGAGGAAGGGAAGGCAGGTGAGGAATGGATAGGACTGGGGGTGGAGCAGCATCGGGAGCCAGTGTCAGAACCAGAGGACAAAACAGTCTCCTTTCAACAACGAGGACGCCCCAGAGCCTGGGGCTCACCTGCCTGCAGAGACTGTGGGCAGCTAAAGCTGAACTCAGCCCTTGGCTCCCATTCTCTGGTGCTTTTACTCCACAGTTGAGGACCCTAGAGTCTCCAGGGCAAAAGGACCAAGCCTTATTTAAAAACCTATGTAGATCTCATCCCTGGGTTCATACATGGTCCTGTATCCCCAGCCAGTTACTTTACCTGCGGCTTTGCTTCTTCGCCTTTGAGCGTGTCCTCTGAGGGTAGACTATATCCCTAGTACACAGCCCTAGGCCCAAGGGGGACCATTTAGTTGGGAGTGACCCAGCTTGGATATGCAGCCAGGGTGTGAAGAAATGGGGACAGGCAAGACAGGAAGCCAGCATGGTATGTGTCCCACATTCTGGTGTGGAATTGGGAGTAGGAGCCTCCATTCATGCTCTTGTCCCAATGCCCATAACATAAGGGAGGGGACTACTCTCTGGCATGGTCCTCCACCCGAGACCTTGACATGGGGGTACAACCTTCGTTCATCTTTTCATAAAGATTGTCCTTTGAAACTGGCCAAGAAGAAGAATCTCTTGCCACTCTCCCCTGTCAAGGTGGAGCTGATTTATGGTTTTAATGTTTACAACCTAGAAGAGGAATTTCAGGGGCAGGTGTCTTCTCACCTGATTACACTTGTCTAAAAGAGCTCAGAGCCAGCCCTGACTCTCCAGCATCAGCAAGAGCAGAGCTATGATATGCGGCCAGATTCTCCAAATCCATCTTCACCGTTATTGGTAGGATATGACTTTGGGTAACCTCTCCAAGACTTGGTTTCATTGTTTTGGCCTCGGCCTGTATCTGTACGATGGGATAATAGCAACATCTACTTAACAGGCTTTTATGTCACTTCCCTGATATGGCCTCTCAGAGGCAAAAGAAGTGGGAGCAGAGAAGACTGAACAAACCATGTTTAGGGGTTTGAGGGGCAGATGTGACTCCCTCTGGACAGGCCAAGAGGCAGGACAAGTAGGAGGACAGAGGTAGGAAGAGGTGATGGGGGCAAAGCAGCCATAAGAGGAGAGAATGTGACAAAGCCCAGTGTTAGCAGAAGGGGTTGGGAAGTGGGAAAACAGGACATTTACATGGGAAGGAGGAGCGGACACTGAAAAGAAGAGAAAGGCCATATAAGTCAGTCCTATGAGAGTGTATGCTACACACACACACACACACACACACACACACACATAGGCACACATACTCAGGGAGATTATCTTAGCTGGCATGGTCATGTGGATTTCTTTCAGTCCCATGTGGGTTTAACACCTCCAGATTACTTGGAAATGTATCCAAGTCGTGCCGTAGGCCCTGGAGGGCAGGGGCTCTGTCTCACCCAGCATCAGGCCACCTTGCATCCCAGCAGGAATGGTCCCTGGGCCGTGGTACAGTCTGTGAAGTGGACTGAGCGTCATCCTGTCTAGGAGTATTCTCCCAGCACCCCACATTCACACTGTGGTGACACCAACCCAGTTGTTCTCTCCAAGGCAGAGAGGAGGGGCATCTCAGTACCATCTTCCAGAGAAGATGCTTTACTCACCCACAGGCCATGCCCAGGATGAGTGTGAGTTGCCCCCAGATGACTGCTGTCCCTCCCCTTTTTCACATGACAGGAAGGTCAGCTGGGATGGGCACTATTACCTTCTGGTCAAATAAAGGCCTGACAACTCTCCTCAGGGCCAGAGCATTGCAGGGCCCCTCTCGGAGGCCCACAGAGACCTGGCTCCTCTTCTCCCACTTCTTTATGCAGCCAAAGGTGTCAGGTACCAGAAAAGTCCCCTGTTCTGCTGGAAACAGACCAAGCACACTCCTGCCCCAGGGAAAGGGGGAAGACAACACTCTGGCTGCTGCCCACCAGCACTGCCCACACACAGATTCAGAAGACAGGGATGTGTGTCCCCTACTCACAACATTTTGCAAAATGCCACTTGAGCAAATTATGTCATTCTCATCCAGGCAGTCACGCCTTAAGCAAAATCAACACCTCAATTTCCTTTCCCTTTTCCTGTCTGATTCAAGCAGCTCCCTCCCCTGCCCTACTGGAGTAGAGATATGATTCCTGGAAAAGCCACCGCAAGCTGGAGCTGGGTTGAGATGCCTCAAGTACCAAGGCCAAGAGTCTGGCTTTTGTGATAGACAATAGGAGCCATCGATGTCTGTGCTGAGACTGGGAACAATGGGTTAATGACCACATTCAATGTCAGGGTAGGGGCAGGGCTGCAGCCAGGGCAGGAGAAGCAAGTGGAGGCTTTTGCTGTAATCTAACCCAGTGGCTCCCAACTGGCATAGGTTTGTCCCTCAGGGGGCATTTGGTCATGTGTGAGACACTTTTGATGGCCGTGACTTGTGTTGAGTTGTGTGGTGGGGAGGTGCTGCTGGCAAGAGTGGGCAGAGGCTAGGGATGCTGCTAGACTTCCCACAATACACAGGGGAGCCCCTACAACAAAGAAACGTCCAGCTCAAATGTCAAGAGTGCTGAGATTAAGGAATGCTGATCTAGCATGAAGAAGTGAACATGGGATCTAAGAGCAACCCTTCTGAGATATGAGACAATGAGGGGTGCAGGAGAAAGAAGAGCCACAGAAGCTGGACCAGGCTGGAACTGAGGGTCATGGGAGAAGGGGGTCACATGGAGAGAGCTAGTGGGACAAGCAGGCAGCCAGGGTGCCTGATAGATGCTCATGGCTATCTGTTGTCTTGAGTCACAAGTGAGTTCATTGTGGGCATGGACTCACTCAATCAGCCAGTGTTGAGAAAGTCCAGGTAGGAGATCTACACCTGCAGATCTGCAATTCCCAACCCTCTCCTGAGATCTCATAGCATCCTGTTCCCCAGGACAAAAAGCAACCTCTTCAGCACCTGCAAATCTGCAATTCCCAACCCTCTCCTGAGATCTCATAGCATCCTGTTTCCCAGAACAAAACATAACCTCTTCAGCACAGGAAGAGAGACCAGGATTCAGCTCCTGCTTTCTGTCCAGCCTCACCGTCTGCTGCTCCTTCCCCTCACATCCCACTCTCCAACCCTACTCTCCCACTGTCCTGCAAAGGCAGCATCCTCACTAGCACCCTTGCTCAGCTCCAGGTCTTTCCTGGGCCACCCTTTCTTCCCTTCCCAACTTGGCCTATTTCTACTCATCTCTGAGAATACAACTCATTTCCAAGTCCGGTTGGAAATCTTCCCTGAGCCTCACACCTAACTTGGATGCCATCTCTTGCAACTTCTATGGTATCCTGGACAAAACTCCATCCAGGACAGAGATTACATCATACTACTTTCTAGCTTATTTTTACATTAGGCCCTTTGAGGGGCCCTTCAGGCCTGCAACCTAGTCTTTCATCTCTGCATCTTCATAGTTAATAAAGAAGTATCTGTTGAATGAATAAATGAATTCATGGATAGATGAAGATAAGGAATTTGTGAATCAATAAACAGGAAACTGTCAAAGCTGGAAGCATGAAAAAATCTCCAAGAAATCGTTTGTAGAGAAAAGAACAGTGAGCTGGGAACCTTGATGAATACCCGCCAGAAGGGTATGAGAGTGGGGGTGAGGAGTTAGCAAGGAAGCCATAGACAAACGTGCCTTTTTTTTTTTTTTTTTTTTTTTGAAATGGAGTTTCACTATTGTTGCCTGGGCTGGAGTGCAATGGTGTGATCTCGGCTCACTGCAACCTCCGCCTCCAGGGTTCAAGCGATTCTCCTGCCTCAGCCCCCTGAGTAGCTGGGATTACAGGCGCATGCCACCCTGCCCGGCTAATTTTTTGTATTTTTAGTAGAGACAGGGTTTCACCATGTTTGCCAGGCTGGTCTTGAACTCCGGACCTTAGGTGATCCACCCACCTTGACCTTCCAAAGTGCTGGGATTACAGGCGTGAGCCACCGTACTTTAACGCAGTCAGCAGGCCAAGTGCTATGAGACAGGCTATGAATTTGTCAGTGACCTTTAAAACAACAGTTCTAGCCTCAGATGGGAGAAGACTGTCCCAAAAAACATGGCAGGGAGGGGGAGATACTTTGTTGATCAATCAAGTAAAGCACAGGAAACCTTTCAGAGAAGGGACCACAAGGGGTCCTGCAGACTTAGGAGAGGCAGGAGATGCAGAGGTGAAGCTGGGGATGAAGAAGGATGCTGCCCAGAGACAGGGTGGCAGACAGAGAGGGTTTTACCAAATCTGATGTGACTACCTGCCAGTCAGAGCTAAATCAGCTGGGAGACTCACAGAGCAGGCATTCCGTCCTGTCCCAGAAGGCAGTGTCACCCAGCGGCAGTCTTCTCCCTCTTTGCATTTCACATCTGCGAGCTAGCTGTGCCATTGGCCTTGCCTGACCCTGCCCACGGTTGCTGCCAGCAGGTAGGACACCAACTACAACAAACTCATTAAGCTCCTGCTAACTTAATGGGCAATTTCCTATAGGCAGGATGCTGCCTATTAAACTGTCTTTCAGAGGAACTCTATGCACTTGGAAAGCAAGCAGTGTAAGCACAGTGGCAGAGTGGGGGGATCACACCTCTCATGCTCCACTACCGATCTCTGGGAATAAATGGGCATCTGATGTCATGTAAGAGCAGGTGATGGAGGCAGAGTCATCTGGCTGCCTCCCTCTACTGTGACACATGGTCCTGTATGCCCAGCCAGTTACTTTACCTGGGACTTTGCATCTTCGCCTTTGACCTTGGCACAGGGGCTCAACTTTAGGTTTGGGGTTTCTTGGTTGTTCTGCCTTTGAGATTCCAGGCACTTCTGTCTCTGTCGGATATTGCCCTTCTGGATGGAGGACTCCTTGGGGATGCTGGAGGAGAGTCACAGGGAGAGAGGAGAGTCCACTGCTCATTGGATTAGCAAGACTACCAGCTGGAGAGGGTGGGCAGTGTTCTGAGAATGGCAGGGCTGGGCTGTTAGAAAATATCTGCACTGCTCGGGGAAGGGCAGGGTGCCACTAAGAATGAGGTGGCAAGGAAAGACCCAGGAGCTACAGAGGGAGATGAGTACCTGCAGTGAAGCTGGTGTCAGTGAGTCTGTAAGTCAGGGCTCAAACCCAAGCAGGTGAGAAATACTGCTACTGGCTAACTGTAATCCTTCATGCTATTGATTCAGTATAAGGTCCCTCCGGGTTTTAGGGGTGAACGGAGCCAACTGGTCTTCTTACACCTCTGATATACATAAAAGCCCTCATCCAGTTGGTCATTGTCTGTCTCTTCTCCAGACCAAGCCAGCTGAGGGCCTCTGCTTTCAGCCAGCCAAAGCTCCAACAGGTAGGACGGATACCTGAGTTCAGGGTAGATATTCTCCAGGTACCACTTGAAGCTCTGGCAGCGCAGATTCTTCCTCAGGTCCAATCTGCTCTCAACACTGGGGGCAACGGGGTTGTGGACAGACACAAAGACAAAACACAGCTGTCAGAGGCAGGCGCCAGCAACGCCAGTCCAGACTGAGAACACAAAGCGCGACCCATGCCCATGCTCTGTGCTCACATCTCTCTGGAAGGTGCTGGGGAAATTAAGCAAGAACAGATTTCTATAACTGCAGACAGAGCTATGGAAACACTTAGCAATATCTCACAATGGTGCGGTAATGACAGCGAGGACTGGTGCTTTTACTTGAAGATGGAATTTGGGGGTGTTTTTACTTTTCATTCAAAACAAAGCTGCAAGAACATTCAGTGTGTTGTTAATAATTTACCGCTGGGGCTCTGGGCCTGCTTATTCACAATTTCTCTTTGGATTCTGCAGCCGAAACACCACTCCCCGCTGCCCCAGTCTCAAAAAATCCTTTTATTTGGCTGTTTCTGGGGCCTGGTCATGTATTTGTTCATTAGATATTCATTGAGCACCTACTATGTGTCAGGCATTGTACCCAATGTGGGATACTATGGAAAGCTTTTGAACAATAGGCAAAGATAATGAAATAAGCCATCACAGCCCAGGTGACATAGGATGAGCAGGAGGGACCTATGGGAACAACTCAGAGGGGGACCCTTGCTTGTCGGGTCCATGGTGGTCAAGGTAGTAATGGTGATGCTGGTATCTGGAAGGAAAAGGGGACATTATCTAGACAAACCAGAGGTAGGGGCCCCTGCTAGAGGCAGTGGGGAGAGCAAGATGAGGACATGTGAAGACATGAAAGAAGCTCTGCGGGCAGGAAGAGTGCTGCAGGATCTTAAAATAGATGTGTATGTGAATGTATGGGTGGTGATTTGGAAGAGCAGAAATGGGTGAGTTGAAAGCAAAGACAGACCATAAAGGGTCCCGTGAGGCACTGCCAAGGAGTTTGGACTTGTTTAAAGGGCACTGGGATGAAACTGATGGGTTCTAAGCAGGGCAAGAGGTGGTTTGTACTTTGAGAGCATTTCAGTGCTGGTCCACAAATGGGTCTGATGGGCAAAGCTGGGGCCAGGGAGGGTAGTGAGGAGGCAGCTGTGGAAACTCAGGTGCTGATCATGCTTTCAAACAGGGAAGTGGGGGTGGGAATGAAGAACAACAGGCTGAGTGCCTCCACACCTCTCGGCACCCACCTAAGTTCATCCATGTCTTTTTCTTCCTGGGCAAACACATAGAGCTGGCCTTGCTTCCTGTCCAACTCACTTCCTTCCACTCCCCACCTCAAGATTGCACTATAACTTCTTCTTACAGAGCACCAACCACAGCTCATCACCAGACTCTAAGCTCCATCAGGATGGGAAGGATGTCAGGTTTCTAAAATGCTGAATATTGGGTGTTTAGCAAGGGCCTGTGTGCTCAGTGCATGATGGTGCAGTGTTACCAAGACTTGGTGATCATTTGGATGGGAAAGAGAAGGGGAGGGATTCAAGGATGGGAAAGAGAAGGAGAGGGATTCAAGGTTGACACCTAGATTTCTGACTTGGGCAACAGGTGCAACGAAAACTCTTCACGGGGATGGGAAATATCAGATGAGGAGTAAGTTTAGGAGCGAACGTCATGAGTTCAGTTTAGGATTTGTTGAGTTGGAGGTACCAGGGAGACATCCTGGTGGAGGTGTCTAGTTGATAATTGGATAGAAGGGATTGGAACTCAAAGGATAGGTTTAGCTTAGAAATAGAGATGCAAATATCAGCAGCATAGATATAGTGCTTAATGCCAGAGAGAATATGTAGTAAGAAGAGGCTTTTTAACGGACCCTCCGGCAAGACCATCATGCAAGGAGTAGGAAGAGGAAACAGCCTGCAAATGGGACCAAGCAAGCAGTGCCTAGCAG
The DNA here is from genome assembly GCF_000001405.40 of Homo sapiens. Lineage (NCBI taxonomy): Eukaryota > Metazoa > Chordata > Mammalia > Primates > Hominidae > Homo > Homo sapiens. The sequence goes on from NC_000002.12 coordinate 30,926,687, forward strand.
CAGAAGAAACGCCATGCCTGCAGAGTTCTGGAAGCCTAGGGACTGGGGGACACCAGAGGGGCCGGGGGTGGGAGAAGACTCATGCTGATGGGGCAGCGAAAGAGGACAGTCCAGGGTGCAAGGAAGTCACGAGGGAGCCAGGTGGGAGCAGTCTCAGGGCTTGGGGGCCAGGAGAAAGGAGGGGAGTGGAGAGAGGAAAGCAGACCACTGCTTCATGAAGCTGGGCACTGGAGGAATGGAAAAGACAGAGCATGGATTATGAGCAATGTTGGACTGAAGGAGGGTTTTTGTAGTTTGTTTTCTTTCCTCCCCTTCCTATTTTTTTTTCTTAAGATGTAAGACACTGAATAAGTTTAAATGATGATGGGAATAATGCAGCAGAGGAGAGACCGGGGATCAGGGAGAGAATGGAGGCACCCGGAGGGCAAAGCCCCCTAAGGAGTGTGGTTCCCAAACTTGTCCCCATGTTAGAATCACCTGGTGTGGGGTCTTTAGAAAAATTCTACAGCCCAGGCCACACCCCAGAGCAAGTAAACCAACTCTCTAGAGGAGGGGCACAGACTGCAGTCAGTTTGAAACTCCCCAGGGAACTCTGATATGCAGACTAGTTTGGGAATCTCCTTGGTAGAACCTTGCTCCTCAAATTGTGGCACTCAAGCAGGCAGCATTGCATCACCTGCAGCTTATTAGAAATACAGACCTCCAGAGTCAGAATTTTCATTTTAACAAGATCCCCAGGAAATCTGCGTGCACATTAATGTCTGAGAGGCCCTGCGCCAGGAGGCAAGAGGAGATGAATCCAGGCAGTGGGAACTCGATAAATGTTGATTTATGAATGAATGCAGCGATGAATGGTTCATCCAGAGTACAGGTGGAGGGATGGAGACCACAGCAGGAAGCACAGCCTGTCCTTTGAGACAAGAGACAGAGAAGGATGCTGCAGAAGCAGTGAAGTTAATGGGTTGGTTTGTTTTGGGAAGTTGATGTCATCTATTTCATCTGTAAAACAGAAGGTGTCATCTGCTGCCAGCGAAAGAGGGGGGTGGACTAGGGGCTGGGAAGAGTGGAGGTTTAATGAAGATCGAGGGAGAACGCTAGCTAGGAGAGGCAGCAGGGCCAGTGGGCAGACTGCAGGCCTTGCTGAGACTGACGACCACGGTGTATTATTAGTAGCACCAGCTGGCATTCCCAGTTCTGTTCAGCAGCCTGTGTGCACAGGAGGACAGGGTGCAAAGTCAGATTCATCCAAGGTTGAACCTGGATGAACTGTGGGGATGGTGTTGCTAGATGGAGAACAGCACAGAAGGTCTGAGGACAAGACCTTTTGAGCTCAGTTTTTAAAAGAGTAGAATCCAAGCTAGAGAGGGAAGGCAGTGAGGGGGATGTGGTTGATATGGCCAACAGATTGGAAGTTCTGATGAGGACTGAAAATGAATGCCTTGGAGGTTTGGAGTGAGAGAACCTGAGGGGCAGCATGGATTTATGGTTTCAGAGATGCAAATCATTTTGGTGGGTTCTGATTTAATCCTCCCACTCAGTGATGGGATCAACCTATGAATTTAGGCTGCAAAAAACCCATCTGCTCAACAGCCTTCGTATGATGAGTGGGTGATGTTAGTATGACAAAAAGCCATTGGTTGCCCCCAAAGAAACATAAATGATAGCATTAGTGAAGTTGCTATTTTTCTCTAATCAGCCCTGGGTTGGGGAATACAAGGTCATTCCAAGTTTTGAAATCAGACAGGTGTGGTTTGAGCCACCATCCCCCCTCTGCCATGGTGTCATCTAGGGCAAGAAGCTTAACCTGTAGAAGCCTCAGTCTCCTCATCTGTAAACCAGGAGTCATTACGCCCATTCCTCAGAGTTGGGAGGATTAATGAGATGCCTTATGTAATGGTATCTAGCTTTTATTTATTTATTTATTTTTAATTAATTAACTAATTTTTTTGAGATGGGGTCTCGCTCTGTCACCCAGGCTGGAGTGCAGTGGCGTGATCTCGGCTCACTGCAACCTCCGCCTCCCAGGTTCAAGCGATTCTCCTGCCTCAGCCTCCCGAATAGCTGGGACTACAGGTGCCCGCCACCATGCCCAGCTAATTTTTGTATTTTTAGTAGAGTTGGGGTTTCACCATATTGGCCAGGCGGGTCTCAGACTCCTGACCTTGTGATTCACCCACCTCGGCCTCCCAAAGTGCTGGGATTACAGGTGTGAGCCACCACGCCAAGCCTGGTATCTAGCTTTTAATAAACATTCCTTTCTCTGTCCTCTCCTCCCATGAAACTTGAGCACTGCTGTAGAGGACACATCTATACACATGCTGTTCCTCCAAGGAAGGAGAGAGCTTAGGCTTGGATGACCTAGAACTTGGAGGGAAGAAGTCCCACCTAGAAGGACTAAGGCTGTCTAGTCCTGCCTCCTTCCTGTCTGCAAAAAGCAGGAAATATTGGTCCACTGCACAAGGCACAGCTCAGCTCCCCTAGAGCTGGCAGTCCAGGTTGCCAGGCAGTCATTCCACAAGAGCTGCCTAAAGCCCTGCACATCCAGAGCTGGGCAGGAGCTCTGAGGAATAGGAAAGAAGCCACAGCCTTGGGCCCTGCGGGAGCTGAGGGTAGCTAAGCTGACTGGCCTATCGGCACCCATTTGCATCGGTCCTAGGAGCTGGGCTCTTTTGCAGTCTCTGCCCTCCTCAACCTGAAGGGACACTTACTTCCCGAAGGGCCTCTCCAGGGCGAATGGCCGGGCAGCGTAATAGTATTGCTTGTATTCATCCATCCACACTTCAGCTGTCCGCTTGGTGTTCCTGGGAAAACAAGGAGTGACAAGGGGTGTCAGTAAGGGGCTGTCTGAGAGGCCCTGTGAGTGCCAGTTAAAATACACATGTGTGGGCTGAGTTGGCAACACCACCTAGGTGGGGGCCACCATGGTCAACCGACTATCATTCCTGTTCCCAGGGCACTGAGCCCAGCCAAGCCCCACCCAATCTCCAAAGGGGTCTTTACCCCAAGACACAAGATTTTAGTACAGGTTGAGTATCCTTTACAAGAAATGCTTGGAATCAGAAGTGTTTTGGATTTGGGGTTTTTTAAATTTGGAATATTTGCATATACATAATGAGATATCTTGGGGATGGGACTCACATCTAATCTAAACATGAAATTCATTCATGTTTCACATACACCTTACACACATAGCCTGAAGGTAATGATATTTTTCCCTTGGGGATGCTGAATAAACTGTGGGTTGTCTACCTGCATTTTGACTGCAACCCGTCACATGAGGTCAGGTGTGGAATTTGCCACCTGTGGCATCATGTGGGTGCTCAGAAAGTTTCAGATTTTGGAGCATTTTGGATTTTAGATTTTTGGATTAGGGATGCTCACCTTTAGTAACAACAAACCTTTCCCCCAAAAGATACAGACCAGGAAAATCATGCCAGAAACTGAACTTCTGTGGCTATCAAAGAAATAGGGAGAAAAGGCTCAGGAACCCTACTGGCATCCCTTCACTGCCAGTAACCAAGAGTGCAAAGGCAGGGCCTGCATGGGCATCTAGCTTCTGGCTGTCCTCGGGCTCTTGCTCCTGGGTTCTATCCTTTACCACAGTGGAAGTACTCAGGTCCCAGCTCTCCAAGGGGAAAGTGGGCACACACAGGTCTTCCCATAGGCCATGCAGTTAGCCTGCTGCAGGTGTAAAGAACTAAGTAATCAGGCTTCTCTTTCCAGACTTTTTGCTAGCACTCTAGTTTTTAAAATCAGGTTATCTGCCCTGACTCTGACCCCACGAATCACAGAAAAGGAGACAGACAGAGAGACAGACACTAAGGATCCCTCAGCCATCAGGCGTACCAGAAAGAGCCCCAGAAAAGAGAGAAAAGATGTCAGAAAAGAGTCAGGTGGCTGGTGGCCTGGGCAGCAGTGGTATCTGCTGAGGCCAAGTAAGGGAACTTGGGGCCTAACTGAAAAGGGGGTGCTCTTTCAGATGCTAGCTCTGCTTTAGAGCAGAAGCATTCAAGAGAGGAGCGTGGCAAGCCCTTCTAAGCTAGGACCTGCAATGACAGTTTATGCACACACAGCCTGGTTGGTGGGGCACTGGAGGCAGTTAACAGTGCCTCCCTGGCCCCTTCCACTGACCTAGCCATTAGCACATTGGAAGCTGTTTAGCAGACATCTGTGCCACAATCTTCTAGAAACGGAATGACCTACCAGTGTCATGCAGGATGCCCACTGGCCAGGGCCCAGTCTCAAAGACAATGACTGTCTGGAGCCCCAGGCTCTGCCCCTCATTTCCAGGCCGGCCCCCCTCCAGGCGGCCACATGGCTCCTGCAGAGCCACCACTTCCCTGTGCCAGACATCCCCAGCTCACCTTTACTTTTTAAAACCTGAGAGCTGAGGCAGCCCTGCCTTTGCTCCCCACTGCTTCCTGGCCTGCTGATTTTCTTATCACCCTACCCTTGCCCTTCACGTTTTTGTAAAAGGTGTGGCCAATTTTCCCATTGCTCAAACCCATGTCTCCTCAGGACAGCTGTGTTGGGGTGGCTGTGTCAGGATGTGATGACACAGCTCCCCCTACCCCAATGGACCAAATGACAGAAAAAAAGGAAGAGGAGACCAAGTGGAGGAGAAGCTATCAGATGACAAGAGATAGAGGGTGGGGGAAAGAGAGAGAATCAAGAGGAAAAGATGGAAAGAGGAATATTCACGAATTATTCTGAAAGGAGAAGAGAAAGATCGAAAGAGGAGAAATGGAGGAAAAAAGAGTGGATGAAGGGAGGAAGCAGGGAACAGGCAAGTGGGCACCCTTGGGTCTCTGAGTCCCAGTAAGAACCACCCCCCAGACAGGAGGAGAGCACACCAGCAGACAGGAGCCCAGGGTCTCAGGCCCTGCCCCAGCCTGGACCCTTTGACTCTGCTGGCCAGGCCCTGGAGCAGGGACCTAAGCTGCATCCCTTGGGCCTCCCCATTCCCTGCATCTGCCCAAAGACCTCTCCCCTAGTGACCCAGCCCGAAGGTGGGGCAGTGGCTCTTCTAGAACTCCAAAGTAAAAAGGGCTGCCCTTCCCCCATCTCACAAAACCCCAAATATCTGGAGCCCATGCCCTGCAGGAGGGCATTGATGGGTGACTTGAAGCCCACGAGGCCTCATGTGGGGCCTTCCGAAGCCTCAGAAGCATTAGGGAAGCCTCAGGCCCTAACACTGGATGTGACAGGCCTGCCTTCCCTATCCAAGCAGAGTCTGGGTAGTACGAGGTGCAGCCCCGGCCAGTTCAAATCACACAGGCAGCCTAACAGAGCACCAGGGACGGCTGCAACCCTTACCAGCAGCCGCCCAGCCTTGGCTGCCTGTGCTGCTGCCCACCCGCGCTGAGCCCCTGGGCACTTACTTTATATACGTGTTGGCATTTCCATCAGGGAAAACGTAGGGGTGCTTCTTCCGGAAGACGTGCCCCACTCGGCTGCAGGGGACGATCTCTAGGCTGCCCCCGCACATCCACACTCGGAAGGAGATTTCTGCAAGACAGTCACGCCCCTCCTATGACCTCTTATCACTGCTGCTGCAGCTTTGAGGCCCCAGGTCTAATGAAACGGTGAGGCCCCCGCAGAGGCGAAAGAACAGACTCTGCAGCCAGTCTGTAGGCTCCACTGGCTGAGAGACCTCAGTTTCCCCATCCATAAATGGGAATAGTCCTACCACTTTGGAGGGTGGTATAAGTGAGCAGGGAAACAGTGCAAACCAACACGCTGGCCTCTGGAGCATATTCAGGGGCCAGCATGGCGGGGCAGGGGCTCTGCTGCAACTTCTTAGCCTGGAAAGGAGGAGCCTTGGGGGCACTAAGAGAGTTGCCTTCTAACTTGCGGAAGAATTCATTGTGGAAGTCTGGTTAGATGCACTCCCTGTGATCCCAGAGGGTTAGAGTCAGGACCAAGGAGAAAGAAATTTCAATCGAGAATACGGGAGAATTTTCTAACAATCAGGGACAAGGTGACCATTGTGAGAAGACTCAGGACAGGCTAGAAAACTTCACGGCAAGGATGCAACAAAGGGGACTGAGTCCCCAGAAGGCCTCAGGGCAAGGTGTCCACAAAAGTTCCTTCCACAGTGAATGCAATTCTACCACTGGGGAAGAGCCACCTGAATCATAACCCAGGAGGAGAAAGTCTGTGCAGTTAACTAGAGCTGAAAGCAGTTCTAGAAAATGCTGGAAGCCTCAAAGCTGTTGTTGCTGGTGTCCCCTAGGTTTGTACACACACCCATTTCTTCCTGGTTGGCTGCTGCTATGGGCCCTCAGAGAGGTGGGTGGGATGGAGTTAGCAGAGGCGGCTGTGGTGAGTGTATTTCTCCCCGGGACTGTACCCCAGCAGGCTTGAAGTAGTGCTTCTGCCCTGAGAAGGAAGTGGTGGCATACCAAGTGGGGAGGGAGGGAATTTTACCACTGCCATTGGTTAAAATTGCCAGTGCATGGTGACATTCAAAAGCAGAATGACTGTGAGTGTTATCATTGCTCTTAAATTTTCTACAGATAATGTACCCCCTAACTGACCACAGCGAGGGCAGGCTGCTTCCTGCATCCCACTGGGCCTGTCACTGGTAGAAAAGGCAGCTCCTCATGTGTAGGTATTCTGGTCTGGCTGATGCTTCTGAAGTCGAGCCCAAGCATGTGGCTGCCCATGTGAGGAGCCATGGGGAAGCAGGCTGGGTGTTCAGGGGAAGGGAACAAGGATACAGGTATTACAGGGCCTTCGTATCACATGTGTGTCCTGCACCCTGCTCTCATTCCCCTGTCCCCAGCCACCTTTACCTGTCACCTACCTGTCTCCTCCCACGTTTCCTTGGAAAGGCCCCTGGACTGAGGTAAGACTTCTTTCACACTAGCCCTACTCCACCACCTTCTCTGCACCTGCCCCTCTGCCTACTGCTGTTCACTCCCAGGAAGCCTGGATTCCCCTCAGGGTGGGGACCATGTAGACTCAAGGAGGAAGAGAGCACTTCTCATGACTGCTACTGAATCATGGCAATAACATGGGGGAAAGGAAACAGGAAGAATTTAGCTTCACAGTCAGCAGGCCCAAGTCCGCAGTAACCAGCTAGCTGTATCCTTGGGAAACCTGCTTAAGCTCGCGGAGGCCTGATTTGCTCTTATGTCAAACAAATGTCATAAAAACACTCCACTGGAATGCCGTCAGCATCAAATCAAATAGAATTTTGAGAACAACTGTGTAAACGCTAAGTGTGATTGAAAGATCAGCAGGAGTTATTATGAGACATCCCTCTAAAGCCAATCTCTTTAAAACATGGACATCACCCACCTGTGCCCCCTTTTAATTTCTTAGATGACTTACAGATGCTTCTTCCCATCTTCTGCCACACTGCAGGAGACACCTGAAATGTGTGCACTTCACATTTGAGATTTCGACTCTCCATAAAGTCCCACTGTACAGAGGGAGTTGGCATTTGGCTGGGGCACTGTTTGAATCGTTTTTCACATGAGTCATTGAGCAAGGAGTGAGCTCAGCCAACTGCCTGGCACCCACATCCCCATCTTGCAGTAGCACATAGAGGAACCTGGAGGTCGGTGCGTGGAGTTGTGTCAGCACGTGTGAATTTCAGTCTCATGTCTGTGCTCCAATCAACTCCTCTCCAGAGACTCAAAACAGGGCCTGCTCCAGTTCCCAAAATGGAAAACCCTCCAATTCCTCAACACTAGAGATGGAGTCCTTGCTCGCTAGATATAACTTACACATCTTGTGCCAGCTTTCTTCTAAAGATATGTACGGGTTTCATCTACAGTCTCTTCCTTTCCTTGTATTCAAATGAGACATATGTCCCTTTGCAAAGCGAATCCCTCCAACCTGGGCCTCTACCCCATGCCCCACCACCGTTCTCCACTAGCTGTTTCTTTTCCTATGATCCCTCCTCCCAGCTCTTTATTTCTCTCTGAATCTACTGACCCCTCCCTTCTGCCACAGCCATGCACAGGTCCCCAGCTAGGCCAGCACCATTGCCTGGCCCTGATCCTTCTCTACCTTCCTTCTGGTCTCCCCATGTTCTTCTCCTACATCCCCTCAACGCTCTGCCTCTGAGCATTTTCCTGACACTGCTGTCGCCTCTGCTCCCAGAGTTCACTCTATGCTGAGGACTCACCTCCATCCTACCAGCCCCAACTCTGCCCCAAGCTCTGGCACCAACTTTCCATGATTGGCTGAGGTATCTATTGAGATGGACGGGACATTATCACACCCAAGACATCTCCTATGCCCTCAGCATCTTCCTACAGCCTGCTGTAGCCCTGCCTCCTCTAAAGACATTCTTCCTCCTTCTAATTTTCTTATGTCTGTTGCCTTAGTACAAAAATTGAGTATTGCAATTCTGCAAGCATTAGCCATGGGAGGAAAATGACCCCTTCATTTACTTCTGGGCCAGGCAGGCAGTAGCTGATTAGTCCTAACAACCCTGCTCCATTGTTATTAATGTTCTTATTTTGCGATGCAGAAGCAACTCTGATAGGACAACTGAGAGCGAGAAGCTGGTGGCATTCAAAAGCAGGGAAGCACATCTCTCCAACTCCGAAATTCATGCTCTTCCCCTGACACCACCCTGCCTCCATACTGAACATCTTCCACCAGCCAGTAGAGCTGTGGATGCAAAGAAACCAACTTCAAGGCACTCACAAACTAACAAGAGTGACAAATACATAGTTAGCTGTCACATTCCTACCCTATCAACTCACTCATCCAGTCCTGAAGGATGTCCATCTCAGGTCTCCTTCAGGCTGGCTGCTGCCGCCCAGAGGAACCTGCAGCCGAGATGAGTTAAGAGTGTCTCTACTCTGGAGTTCAGATTGTTATGCCTGGAATTATTGGAGGCACGTGTCTTGACATGGATCGCTGTGCTGCTGCCAGAGTCAAGAGGCAGTCTGAGGGATGCGGCTTGGAGTTTTCAGATCAGTGTGATGATTTATAGGGATGACAGTGTGGGTTATTTAAAATGTGGGATATACAGGTGCTCTACCCTTATCTACATCACCAGCTTCAAGGAAATGATGTGTATCCTCTCAGGATTGCAGGCCAGGCCTGGTGGTTCGTAGATATCTGCTGAGACCTTTGGGACAGTCACAGGACCTGAGGTCCTGTGAAGGGGGCTTGGACAAGTGCTATCAGAAGTGCTGTAGATTCACGTGTGAGGTGGTGGACCTTCCAGGTACAGATTAGGGCCTCTGATCTTCGAGGCTGCAGCACCTGCACAGTCATCATTTCTGAAGTGAGGGAGGAGGGAACAAAAAAGAATTGTGTAGAGAGTTTGCTGGGGGTTCTTGCTGAGTCAGCGCCCACATAATCTCCCTGGTGATGAATGCCACTTCACGGAGACCCAAATCCACTTTGAATTCCAGGCATGCAGATGTGTAATTATTCCATCCTCATCGGGGCACTGTTATAATCTTACTTTCTTTAAACGTCAGGTAAATATTTGAGAGCGAATTGCCCTCCCGCCCTCCATTCCCCCCACTTTCCTTCTGTCTCTCCATCAGCTGATCAGTAGTGCTTACCACCCCTCCCAGGGTCCTAGCCCTTCACCAGAACCAACTTCTACCTGGCAAGCCCATGGATGGTGGGCAGGAATTCAGGGGAGAAGGAGCAGCTTTCTCTCCAGGAAGCAAACCACGACTATTCATATGCCACTGCTTGGCCATACTGGTCAAGGTTCTAATTTCATTTTATAGCCTGGTTTCTAAACAAAGGCAAAGAGAATTATTACACGTGGGTACTACATTTTAAATGGAGCCTCGTATAATGTATATGTGTGTGTATTGTGTATACAATAGCATTGTCCATTCTACTTTTGGCCAAGTTTAAACCTCTGTCTGAGAAACAGACACTCACCTGGCTACTGTCATTCATAAGTCCACACATATTTATGTACAATGGGGAACCTTGCCTTTCAGTAATTTTTAAGTTCCCAACATCTACTGGGCTAGAAAGCAAGTTCTGTTATTACTCTTTAATGAATGAAGGGACTTGGGTAGAGATAATCTTATTGGCCCAGAAAACATCGCCTTGAATCTGTGAGCAAAACTGCATTTCACCCACAGCTGGGACAATCAAGTCTCCATCCACACCTCTTACTCTAGACAAGTATTGACCACAGGCATGCCATGATCTGCAATGCCCATACGACTGCAAATGCCAGGTGACACCTTTATCTTTCCATATTCTCTATGCAAACAGAGCAACTAGTGTCTGATGGGACTCAATTACACGTAGGGAAGTTGAGAAGCAGCAGGAAAGGACGGCCTCAGGGGGTCTCCCTTGGGCATGGGGCTTTAGCCAGTAGCTCAGACAAGGAACAAAGTGCTGGCTGCATTAGCTTTACTCTCCATCTGGGGGAAAAGCTGACTTGCTATCACACTTGTATGCTCTTCTCAGATGAGGTCATGTCCCTAATCTTGAGCCACCAATCATGGAAAGGGTGAGGCTGAAAGAGAAAGTCAAGCAATAAACTACTCCAGCAGGTCACACATAATCCTCGTTTAACAATCCCTGCTCTCTGAAAGAGAAGGCAGCTCACCCTGGTGGAGAACAGGCACTTTCATTATCTAATTAATCTTTGCAACAGCCCTGTGATGTGGGGCCTACTACCATTTTCCACTGTTGCAATAACAAATCCCCACAAACTTAGTGGGTGGGTTTGGCGGAGCCCTCTGCTTAGGGTCTCAGACTGAAATCAAGGTGTCAACAGGATGGCTTCTTTCTGAAGGCTCTGAAGATGAATCCACTTTCAAGCCCATTCAGGTTGTTTGCAGAACTCAGTTTTCCTTGGAGTTGCAGGACTGAGGTTCCCTTTTCCACCTGGCTGTCAACTTGGGGCCTCTCTCGGCTACTTCCATGTCGCCCCCTCCAGCAGCCGTGGTCGGTACCTCTCGGGCTTCACATCTCTCTGGTTTCATCTGCTACTTCTCTTCTGCCTCCAGCCTGAGAAAGTTCTCTACTTTTAAGGGCTCAAGTGTTTAAATTGGGTCCACTCAGAAAAGCCAGGATAATCTGCTACCTTCAGGTCACTGATTAATGACCCGAAACGCATCTGGGAAATCCCTTTGCTACCTAAGGTAACATCCTGACAGGTTCCAGGGATTAGGGTGTGGACATCTTTGGGAGGGCTGTTCTCCCTACTATGGGGATCAGTCTCCACTTTAAAGACTTAGGAACAGGCTCAGTGAGGTGAAGTAACTTTCCCAAGGATGCATAGCGATGATTACAGGATTTAAACTCAGGCCTATGAATGCTTAGTGATGATTATAGGATTTAAACTGAGGCTTACCTGATTCCACAGCCCACATTCTTCCCATAACACACCCACCCACCCCCCACCACACACATACTTACACACTCAGGAGAGCCGAGCCTGGCATAGCCTGGTGTCCCTGACTACATTCTGGGACAGCAGGTGGTGGTACTTCCTCTCTGGGCCCCAACTCACCTCTCTCTTCTCGGCAGCCTTTTGTGCCTGCTGTGCTTTGGAAATCCCCCATTTTAAATTCAGGAATCCCATATTCACCCTTCATATATGTGCCAAGGGCTCCTTTTTGGAAATATGCACCGCTTACATACCTACACACACACATACACCCTACACACACACACACACACACAGACTTTATACTAGGGCAACAGATTCCTTTTACACACACACACACACACACACACACTCTCTCTCTCTCTCTCTCTCTCTAACAGACTCCTTTTATCTCTAAAGACCAAAAGCTAAAAGTAGGATGCAGCTCAAAGTAGACACATTACATGTACACTGTGTTATGTAAATTGCAGTTTAAGCATCCAATTTTAATGCAAATCAACTTCTGAAAAAAAATCTAAAAGCCACATTTCCCTAACATCTGCTCATAGGCTGAAATGCACATGTAATGATCAAAACTATTCAGCTCACCTTAGAAATACTTTGGAAATGGTGGCACTGAGGTCAGGGCACGTGAGTGTATGAGACACGGCTTTCACATGGCCATGGCAGCCAATCCATCAGTGGCTGCTTCTAACCCATGAAAACCAAGATGGGGTAGGGCAAGGGCCATGTGCTATTGAGTAGGTCACAGACACTCTGGCCAGAGCCTGTCCCAATCATCTCATGCGTCTTTGTGCTGTGAAATAAAGACAACACAATACATGCAAACATGTCTAGAACACACAGAAATTCTATTACTTAGAAAGGAAAGATGTCTCTACCAGCTGCTATTATTCTCGTATTTAAAGGGAAACCCTTAAACATGTCTCTCTAGGGCTCCATTTAATCCAATGAAACTTATTTTAAATGGAGCCTCATATATATTGCCCTTCCCATCTTGAACCCCATTCCCATTCAGTCTCTGGCTTTTTGAACCCACATTTAGTGAGTAGTTTCTACCACTGCTGGCTCAAGAATGAGAAGTCAAATGAATGATCTTGCCTGTAAGGAGCCCCAGGTTTGGTAGAAGGCTGGGCGGCAGACACAGAAGAAGAAAGAGACAAACACATACAAGGGCTCAGTGCAGTGATGAAGAGAACCTGGTGCTGAAGGGTGCAGAATGAGGGAGAGGGTGGGCCAGAGGTAGGGCAGGGAAAGCTTTCTGGTTCTAGAGGAGGTGGCCCCAGGGCTGAGTCCTGTAGAGGGTCAGCTTCTGCAGCAGAGTAACTTTGGTGGAAAAGGGAAGCTAGGTCCTAATAGTGGGTTGGACTCACTCTGGGAAGAGTGGGAGGTTCTGTTGGTACCTCTGGACCTAAGGCTGAGGCAGGAGCAGGCTGATGAGGCTGGAGAGGCAGGCAAGGCCATGGGAGGGAGGGATCCAGCTGAGGAGTGTGAGTCTCCCCTTAGGACAAAAGGGAGCCACTGAGAATGCCAGGCCCGGAAGGGGTGGGGAGGTTTGCATTTCAAAACAAGCACTTTGGCAGGGGTGTGAGAGCTCAGATTCGATAGTACAATAGAGATGGAGGACCACTGAGGAGAGTATTGGAGCAGATGGAGAGAAGGCGACGGATGTGAGTGATGCTGAGGGCAGTTGATCTGCAGGACTTGGTGACTTGGTGGGTAGGAGGCCCTTCCTGCCACACTCTGGAGCCAGGACTCCTTTCTTCACCCCTTAGTGCCATCTCCCCTTCGCAGCTGGAGCATCACTCGTACACCCCATCCAAATCCCTGATCTTCACGGGGACCCTCTTTCAAATTCCTCCTTCACGCACTCAGGTGCCTTGTTATCCCCACCCGCAGATGTGACACTGTCCACGTGACACAGCCACCACTGGAAAAGCACTGCATTTTCTGGCATATAAAATGCCAAAAAAAAAAAAAAAATCCAGAAATGGCTTTCAAAGTGCTGTTAGCTGGCTATAACATAATGGAATGTTGGGGTGGGATAAAATGAAGTGTTCCCTGTGATAGCTGTTGGCAGTGCTTTTTTTGTGGTTTAAAAATTTTGTGATGGATTGCAAATGTCTCTCCCACACCTCCCAGCACCCTCTCCAACTTCTCTATTCCAATCAGCCCTTGTTGATGCCAAAAGAGTCGGAAGCCAGCTAGATGAGATTGCTACTTGATTTGAGCAGATGTGTGTTAACATTGCTATAAGGAAAGGTATTGCTACCAATACCAAAATGGACCAGACTGTGCCATCCTTGAAATTCATGCTGCCTGAATCCAAATAGAACTTCCATGTGGAAGAAGAATCACTTTGTGCAGTTCAAGAGGGCACTACAAGCCCTGACAGACAGAAGATGGGGTAGCTAGGCTTTGACTTAGAAGAATTCTCTAATAGTTCAACAAAAAATATATCTACAACAGAATATGCCAAACTGTGAAATAGCGAATGCATCATTATAAGAAACATTTCAGCAGAGATTGGATGGCTGCTGTCTATAAGAAATGCTGTAGAGAGGATTCATCTGATGGCTGAGAGAAAGGCTGGAACAAATCACTAACTATAAGAAATACTGAGGTTGTCAAGACATAAAAATGGGCTCCACCCCATAAGAGAGAAGTCCCTACCCCACTGAGAACACCAAAGGTCCACCTGCTCCAAGTTCTCCTGGGCTGGTGGAGGCAGACCCAGCCTCGAACCCCACACCAACAGCCCCCTATCACATTCCAGAAGGCCTTCATGGGCTGGGTCCCAGGGAAGGGATTCGATTTTGTGTGGGTGTTGGGGTGTTTTTCTGTTTTGTTTGCTGGGCATCCAGTCTGGACCCTGTATGGCAGGAGACTGACTTTTCTGATGCATTTCTCTACACTGCCCAGTTTGGGAGAACAGATGCTGTGGGTCAGGCCAGAAGCCATAAATTTCCAGGAAATAACTCTTAGTGACTGAGGGAGAAAGCCATAAAACACCCTGGAGGCAGAAACAGGAGAAAACAATGGCAGCAGACAATGCATGGATTACTGCTAAATGCTGGGATGTGCCCCATGGATCATTCTCTTGGCCTGAGCCCCTGCTCAGAGAGCCTGTGTCAGACATGTGCCACGGTACCCAGAGAGGGAAGGGTCCTGACACTTTGGGAGGCTCCCTTTTACTCTACTGTGATGTGTTCATTCAACAAATAGTTACAGAGGGCCTCCTACCTGGCAGCCACTATGCTAAGCACTGGAGACAGCCAGGAGCAAAATGGACCCCAACCCCTGCCCTCGTGCAGCTTCTATCCTAGTGATCTCCTAGGTCTCACCTGCTGGAGGGAACTGACATGTATTATGCCTGCATGGTGCCAAGATTTTACACATTTACTTCAATGGCTTTTAACAGCCCCAAGAAGTAGAGCTAGTATCCTGACGTTAACACCTTTAATACACAAGGGAAATGAGTATTAAGTATCACTAGCTAGATGGAATGGGTCTTTCTGACTGTGCTGTTTCTCCTGTGGCTGCAAGCCTCAGCTCTATCCCACCATGACCAGATCCAACCATCTGTTTGTACAGTTTTGGGTCCTATAACCCAGCCCCATTCCCTCATCCCTTCCTCTCCCACTATAAGATAAGGGCAAAATATCCCCAGACCCTCCTCATTACCCGAAACTGAGTGCTGCAATCAAAGAAGCCAACAGACTTTAATGGATGTTAATGGATGTCACTGCTGTTCCTGTTCCTCATTCTTTCTCTTCAAGCTCCTTCCAACTGCAAATTTTCAAATGCATCACTCCTTGCTCAAGCCTGTATCTGACCCCTCAGACTTGGTGCTCCTCCTTGGTCTTCCTGGCTGTTGCATCTCAGCTTTCCCCTAACAGTCTGTCAGAGCGTGTTTCCCTGGTTCTCAACATCCATGCAGCCGCCTCATGGAGAGATTCCCTTATTATCAACACCCTCCAACAACTATTCCTTTGGCACCCTACCCGCTTTCCCCCAAAAGAGTAACTCACCATCTCCCAGGACCTCATCCAAAGCACGTGTCACTCTCTGACAGCTTGGTGTTGGATCCAAAACCACAGAGGTCCCCGCCCCAATCCCCAGGGTGTATAGAACAGCATAGGTCAGGATGCAGAGGCAGGGACTCACCAAAGTTCTCCCCACCCCAGATGTCCATGTCCATATCATATTTCCCCAGGTAATCAAACCAAGCTTTGTCGATCACGAAGAGCCCTCCAGCTATGATAGGAGTCCTGTGCATTTGGAAGAAAAAGAGAGGGGATCAGTTCTAGTGGGGAGATCACTCTCAAATTCTTCGGCCCCTTGAGTCTGAAACACCCATTTCCCATTTGGGGAAAGAAAACCCCATTGAGGGAAGAAAACTCTCATTTTCTTCCCATTTCTGTTCCTCTCGAGAAGGGCCAGTATATTTTCCAGTTACCTAAAATGAGAACAAGCTCCAGGGTTTTTCCTGTGATTGTAAATCTCCTGACCTTGCAGACAGGCAAATTCACTCATTAGCATATCTCCCATGGGGACACAGGGCTCACTCAGGACTCCTGCTATTCCGATGACCCAGGGAGCTTCCCCAAGCCTCTTCCACAGGCTCTGCACAGCAGGGCTCTCTTGGGAGCTCTGTTACTGGGAGAAGGGACAGTGGGCTACCGACCACGCAGAGGAGAAGGGCTGAGGCGGCACTTGGTAGCAGCACATCTGTTTCCTGAAACTGGGCTCTCTCTCCTTTTTTTTCCCTCTTTATGCCTCTGTTATGGGTTGAATTCCTTCTTAAAAAGATATGCTGGAGTCCTAACTCCCAGTATCTTAGAATGTGACTGTAATTGGAGACTAAGTCTTTCCAGAGGTAATCAAGTTAAAATGAGGTAATGAGCCCAATATGACTGGTGTCCTTATAAAAAGGGGAAATTTGGACTCAGAGACAGACACACAGAAGGAAGAGAATGTGAAGAGACACAGGGAAGACATGGCCATCTACCGGCCAAGGAGAGAGGCCTAGAACAGCCCTCAGAAGGAAGCAACCCTGTGGACACCTTAATCTCGGACCTCTCCTCCAGAACTGCGGGACGATACATTTCTGTTGTTTAAGCAGCCCCGTGTGTGGTATGCTGTTACAGCAGCCCTAGCAAACTCACACACCCTCATATTTTTTTCCTTTTCTTCGTCCCAGTCCCCAGACTTCTCTGGAGAGATGCCAGAGAAATGCCTGAAAAGGGGCTACCAAGGAAGGCAGGAGGGGAGCAGATTCCAAGCTAATAATCAGTGGCTGGATAGGTGGGCAAGCCCTCAAAGACCTGGCCCCCGTTCAGTGGATCCAGAGGGTGAAGGGAGTTTTCTTCCATATCAAAGAAGTAATTGATGGACAGCTGGTCAGAAGCCCAGGTCTCCTGATGCTGCCACATCCTGCTGTTTTCTGAGAACTGGCTTCATCCTGGGAAACAAGTGCCCTCTGATGAGCAGAGCTATCCCACAAGAAGAGAACCTGTCCTGAGAATGCCACCCCTGCGACAGAGGCAGGAAAACCCCATGGGAGCTGCACAGCATCACCTTGACCCTTTGCTCTTCCCACACCCACACCATGCACTGCCCCTGGTGAGGAGCTGATGTGAGCTGTGTGATGCTCAGCATAATAAGAAGCTCCTCCTCCCTCTCCCTTTAGAAATGAAGGACTTTGTCCTGGGTACCAACTGGCTCCAATTTTCCTCTTGGTATCTCTCCAAATAGAGAAGCCTGGAGGAGCAAGGAGGGGCCATCAGGTAGATGAGACCAAGGTCCTACCCCACAGTAGAGTTCTCAGAGTCCCCACCCCCATTTGGAAGGTCACCATTCACATTCCCATTCTTAGCTCTTGCTAGTCCCTTTATCCTCAATTTGACTTCAGCCAACTCAACAAAAATGATTAAATACTTACTATGTGGCAACACCAGAGACACAGAGATGCCTTTGGCTAGTCCTGGGCATCCCTAATCTGGACTGAGAAATCCAGTGGCCTCTGTATCTATCCATACACTTCTTATCCTCCTGCTGCCCTGCCTGAGGCAGGCTTGTTTTAGCTTAAGTATTCCCAAGAGGCCCGGGACTGGTTTACTGTCCAGTAGGTAGGACACCAAGACCATCACTCTTGAAGCTGAGACCACAGGCTCCTCTGTGTGGTGACCACTATGCTCTACTCTACCCCAAGCCCTCAGTTGGTCCCCAGGCCCCATGCAAAGCCCTAGCCACAATATGCTGTGGGTCACAGTGGGGCCTGGGAGAGAATGTGGGTCAGTACAAAGCCACCCACAGCCTGGCAAAGAGCCAGAGTTCATGCCACTGTCATCTTCCTGCAGAGAACAGGGCAGCTGTGCTTATGAATATGTCACAGTGACCTTCATATTGGCCTCCACTTACAGCAGTGGCTGACTCAACATCTCTGGGCTGAATCCTGATGTCCAAGACCCTGGGACTTTGCTCCTGGCCCTAAGGGACCATCTTTCCCCTCACTAGAGGCCGAATGGGACCACTCAACCAACGTTGGGCTCCGACATTAGCAGGAGGCACAAGGACATCATGGCATGTGTGAGGGTGGGCAGCACACCTCAGCACAGGCCTCTGCTGGCCCCCATCCCCTTAGCAAGAAGTCCCCAAGAGGATAGAAACCTCCTAAAATAAAGGCAAAAGTGGAGATGGCCTGGCAAAGGGCTCCCTTTGTCTGCTTGATGCTTTGACATCTGATATTGAGCACCTCCCTACACTTGACAGGATCCAGTGGTGATGGTCTGCCCACCCCTGCACAGACTCTTCCCACTTACCTGATGGGCTCCGTGGGGTCCAGGCGCCGAGCCTTCTGCTCTGGGGAGAGCTGCTCCCACTGGAAGTGGAGGCTCCAGTCAAACCCTACAACACAGCACCAACCCACCTGCTTTGGTCTCTCAAAAGCACTTGCTCATTCTGCACCCTCTCCAGAAGGTCATGAATGTACCCAGGTCCTGGAGAGGTAGGTCTCAAAGAGGCCGGTCCCTGGGATTGCAGGTTTCCCTAGGCTGATCAGCAGCATGGCTGCCAAAGCGCCGTTCACAGCTTCCTGTTCTTCCTCTACCCACTACCACCTCTCTGAGCCTTCTCTGCTGTGTAGGGTTAGAAATAAAGGGCAGAGGATAAAAAGCCTAGGGGTAGGGGCCGAGGATGACAGGATGGACAGTCATGGAATGTGGGCCTTGGCACTGAGTCTCAGGAAGGTGTGAGCAGGAGGTTTGTGAGAGGCTCTTAAACTACCTGAGTCACCTAAAAGTCATTCTTGAAGTGGGGGCAACAGTGGGCCCTATGTGGAGAGCTGGGGTGGGTCTCCCCAAACATGCTCCCTTCTCTAAGGTCCCTACTCCTGTTAACAGAATAATCACGTCTCTAGGAGAGGGTGGTGCCCACTGCTGGCATCAGAACAATGCAGGCCACATGTAGCTGGGAAATCCTTGCTCCCATCACATTTTTGGACATTAAATGGGGTGAGCCCTATCTTAGAGCTGGAGCTCTGGGTGCTGGGAGCATCCTGCCCACCCCCTAGCCCTTCCATCCACAGTCCTGGTGGTAAGGGCCAAGCTAAGGTAATTATAGTGCAGGTTGCAGGCTGAGCTTTCTCGACAAGCAACTAAGAGCTTTTCCTTCACTCTCCCCACTTAAAAGCAGTGACTGAGAGGAAAAGAAAATCCTTACTGGGGAGGAGGTGTTAGCCCAACTCACCCCCTCTGAGCTCCGAGGCAGACTCGATGTAGGTGAAGGTGTCCAGGTTAATGATATCGATCACAGGGCACACCACCCGCGTGTAGTCCTGTAAGACAACAGACCCGCACTTAGCTTATGGAGAGGAGCCCAGCTGGGAGTCAGGGAGCTTGGGATGGCCTCGTGAGGGTAGGGCCAGAGATGAGTTTTGTGGCCTTCATAGAGCCCTTTCATCTCTGGATCTTAATTTTTCCATCTATAAAAGGGGGTACTGGGCAATGGGACCTCTCCAGTTCTGATGCCTAAAATGCTAAGAGGTTTTCCTTGACTGCTGGGACCTCCCTGCCGCAGTGGCCATCTAAGAAAGGTGGACATGATGGAGGCTGGCTGGAGAGTATTGCACACCCAGAAAGGGGCAATCGAGAAGAAGGGGCTCCAGAAGGCCTTCACCACGAGTGGGGCTCTAGGAGGCAGAGGACATAGTTAGCTGGTGATACGGTTTGGATCTGTGTCCCCAATCAAATCTCATGTCAAATTGCAGTCCCCAGTGTTGGAGGTGGGGCCTGGTGGGAGGTGACTGGATCATAAGGGTGGATTTCTCATGAATGGCTTAACACTATCCCCTTGGTGCTGTTCTGGTGATAGCGAGTATGTTCTTCTTGTGAGATCTGGTTGTTTAAAAGTGTGTGGCACCTCCCCACTCATTTGCTCTGTTGCTCCTGCTCTGGCCATGTGACCAGCCTGCTCCCCCTTCACCTTCTGCCATGATTGTAAGTTTCCTGAGGTCTCCCCCGAAGCTGAACAGATGCCAGCATCATGCTTCCTATACAGCCTGTGGAACCGTAAGCCAATGAAACCTCATTTCTTCTATAAATTACCCAGTCTCTGGTATTTCTTTATAGCAATGTTAGAATGGACTGATACAGCTGGGAAGGTGACCCCAAGACTGCAGCCCCAAGAAGCAAAACCGTACACCCATGGTGCTTCATTCTATGCCTGTGGTTCATGGATAAGTTGATGAATAGCATCTCCCAGAGTCCTAACTTTAATTGTCCCCTGCAGATGAATAGTCACAAATTTGTACCAGGCCCCGACTTCCCTGTTAGCTTCCAGACCCAGATATAATATGCCATTGGCCACCTCCATGTGAATTTCACTCACCTTTCAAAGGTTGACTTCACTGTCTTCTCCCCAAACATGCTCCCTTCCTTAAGTTCCCTATTTCTGTTAACAGAATCATCACCTGTCTTCCCTCCCCGCAGCACTAAATGAAGAAGCTTCACCCAGCCCATCAACCAGACCAAATCCTGCTGGTTCTAACTCCAAAACTGCTCTTTGAGTTCAGCCTGCCTCTTCTCCATCCCCTCAAGCCTGGAGTACTACAATGGACTCCTAAACCCGACCCCACTCTATCTCCTGCTCTTCTCCTTTTATTCTACATATGGCTGCCAAAGTTGTCTTTCTGATTTGCAAATCTGACTCTGCCACTCAGCTGCTAAAAACTTTAACTGCCTCTAAGACAAAGTACAAACTCCTTAGCATAGCATCCCAGACCATCAAGAACAGGCCTATCTCTAGCTTTCCAGCCTCATTACTTGCTACGTCCCTCAGGCCACCCCATCTACGGCATCAAAATCATGCAGGAAACATTTTCAAAATATGCAAGCCTAAGTCACCAGCTTCTTGGAGCCATCGAGCCACTGTACATATATTTTTCAAATTTCTCATTTCTGGGTGAGTAGCCCTGTACCTGATGTGCAGTGAGGAAAACTCCCCACATTGCCCAGAGAGGTGTCAAAGAGCTGTGAACACCGAAACTTTTGGACAGCTAAATGGGAATCAGGCAGCCCATCAAAACCAGCAGGTCCCTGGGAACCAGGCAGGACTGCTTTTCCAATCCTCTGCACCAACCACCCTTTGGCCAGCACAGGCAGGAACCTCTGTTTCTCCTTGAAGCCATTTAATTTCCTGGTTCATTCTTTCCCCCAAATGAGGTTGTCTTCTTATTTTAAACTCTAGATTCACTGAGTGCCTGATTTTAAGTTCACAGACTTAATTTGGCCCTCAGCCTCCCACATGTGACTCATTCTGACAGTAACAAGGTGCCTCTGAAAACCAATTGGCCCACATGGAAAGAAATGCTCATTTTCAATGCATTACTTCTACCTCTGGGATGTCACAGATGGTTCATTCATAGTCAGCACTGCACCTGCCCAGCTGCCACAGTTCCTCTGGGGCTCTTGGGCCACTGTCATTGTGTGTCTGTGGATATGTCAACAGGATACATGGATACATATGGATACATACTGCAGGCACACAAACACCACCATCCACACAAATACCTGGACGTGCACACACAAATACACACACAATTGTTCCTTGAATTCTGAAATGACCTCAGAAGTTCAGAGATATCTTCTGTATGTCTGACAAAGTCTTGGTTTTGCCTTTGCTTTGAGCTTTGGGGCCTCTGCAGCTGTACTAGGTCCTTCTGTGACTCTTATGCAATAAAGGATTAACCATGCCCAAAGATATGTTTGGCCCTTGCCCAGCTCCTGGGAGGTAACCTCTAACCCCTTGGAATGTCCTGCCTAGAAGACTGTCTTTGTTTACCTGGGGCTGTGGGCTACACCAGATAATCTATGCTAACAATGTGGTTTATGGAGAAGACCTTGGGCCGTGTGGTACCAACTCAACTTGACCTCTGAAAAGGCATGGAGACCATGAGGGTAGTTAGCCATGTCTATTTACTGACACCCAATAAAAACCCTGGATATCGAGGCTTGCGGGGAGCTTTACCCTTTGGCAATACTCTGTGATGTTGCCTCACAACCTTGCTAGGAAAAGTAAGTGGTATCTGTACAACCTACTGGGAAAGGACAACTGGAAGCTTGTGCCTGGACTCTTCCTGTGCACCTTTACCCATTGCTGGTTTTAATTTGTATCCTTTCACTGTAGTTAAGCCATAACCATGATTCTAACAGTTTTGCTGAGTTCTCAGTCCTTGTAGCAAGTTATTAAACCTGAGGGTAGTCTTGGGGACCCCCAGACTGCAATCCTGTTTTGCTTTGACTTTAAAAAAAATCTTTCCCCAGTATTTAAAACCTGCAATGGAAAATAAAATGCTGGTTGCTTACTTTGGTCACAGACTTCCCCAGAAGCCATGCATGGGCTCTGTCTCCAGGGCTGCAACAGGCTCTGGTGCACTCCTCCTGTAAGCTCTGAGGGGTTCTGTCCTTCTATTATTCCTGTCATAGCTCACTTGTGGTATCTGCTTGGCTGAGAGTCTTGGAGGCCAGATAGGTAGTGAGGGATATTTGGGTCTAAGTATGTATAAAGCTATGACCTTGAATGGGCCTGCAAGAGGCTTTATAATGAGTCACCAAAGTCAGGACACGACCTCTCTGAGTGCCCTGGGAGGTCAGTACCTGCTCCGCTTTTGTATTCCTCAGCTCTGGCCCAAAGCCTGGTGGGCAGCAGGTGTTCAATCTGTGCTGGCTAAAAGAGGGCATCTATTAGCTCCCTCTAAGGACATTGTGTCAGTGCTGCTAGCAAGCAGGTGGGTCAATTACAGCTGAATAAGATGGCTTCTCCTCCTGTAGGCTAGGGGATGGAGGGACTCTCAATTAAAGCACCGAGGCACACTGAGTTCTCTGTGTGCATGCCCCAGCAGGATGTATCTTTAAAGCAAGGTCCATGCTTAGGCTCAAGCAGGCAGCTGGTGGAACCCTTGCAGATCCTGGACCACACTCCCTCCTCTCCCCTCCTCCAAGCAAATCCAAGTCCCTACTCTCCACCCAACTCCTACCCAACCCTCACCAGGAGCAACTACAAGAGGCTGAATGCATCAGCCCGTGGCCATCTACCACCCCTGCCATCAGGCCTCTCATTTCTCCGCTGAGTCATGTAATTAAAACCACATTGTGAATGGGCAATCAAAAAGCTCCTAGAGATGTCCACTCTTGTGATCAACCAGCACTCCTGAGCACCTACTATGATTTAGGAATCGTGGCAGGTACAAGGATGAGTAAGACCTCACAGTCTAGAGAAGGCGAGGACAGGTGAGTAGATGGTTCTGATGTGGGTATAGATACACAGCCTAGGGGCCTCTAAGCTGGCCTGAAGGGAGGGGTGGGGAACACAGGGAGGAATCCTCAAGGAGGTGACATTGTGGGGAAAGACAAGGACAGCTGGGTTGACAGGACACCTGGGTTCCCATTCTGATTCTGCCATCTAGAATATGTGTGACCTGAACTAAATCAGCCAGCTCTGGGGACTCGGTTTTTCATCTATAAAAGAAAGACAAATTATTATTTGCAAAACTATCCTGCCTCTCTAACTGGGCTTTTGTGAGGAAACAAGAGAGAAAGGCATGTGATAAGACTTTGAAGAATATGTAAGCTATGATTTATATAAATTTACCAAATGCTTTGCAGAGATTGGAGTTTCTTAAAATCTTTTTTTTCCCACTAAAGAACTACGTGGATAAGGAGACTGAAAAAAAAATAAGCTTATGTTTAAAAAAAAACCCCAACTTGGTACTTGTTTCAAGTATCATCATGTAATTGAAAGGAAAAGAAGGAAAATTGGGGAGGTTTTCAATGTGGAAAACACCAGCTGAGGACAGCGGATGACAGCTGAAGCCCAGTCTCTTTCTTATCTCTTTCTATTTTTGAAAATCCCAAACTCCAATTACAGCTTAAAATTTCCACTTCCACTCACAGGATCAAATCATGTCCTACTCTGAGACAAGACACATACAAAGACACCAGGAAACACAGGCTGACTCACGCCCTCACCCCCTGTCCCCAAAGGGCTGGCCCAGAGGAACTGTTCCAGGTCATTAAAGGAGTCAGAGTCTTAGCAAAAACCTCTGCAGCCCTCAAGGCCACTGCAGACCTGGGAGGGTGAGAGCTGGACCATGGCTCCTGGGTTTGTCTCTTTGCTAACCTCTTTGCTACAAAAGCTTTAGCTCAGGTGGGGCAAGGACCCAGGAGCTTAGCTTAGGAAGAGAAGGAGCGTCGGCAGCAGGCAGACATTGCTCACATTCGGAAACGAAGAGATGAAGGCTTTGCCCGACCAGCAGGTAAGGCTGGCCATGGATGTAGAAAGGAGAGCACTTTTCAGAGAGGGTTTCTGAGATGAACTTGGGACCACTGGGATGGAAAGGGCTTCAGAGGTTCATTAAGTGCCCAAAGAAAGCAAGGCTCCCTTAACACATTCTGCAGGGACAAAATCAGCCTGGGGGTCCCTGCAGGTTAAGCATCAATTTACCATATGAGCCAGCAGCAATTCACATATACACCCCCAAATAATTGAAAACAGAGACTCAAACAAAAACTTGTACACAAATATTTATAACTGCGCTATTCACAAAAGTAAAAAGGTGGAAACAACCCAGGTGTTCATCAATGGTTGGATGGATAAACAAAATGTGGTATACACATGCCATGGAATAGTATTAGCCATGAAAATGAATGCCAATACATGCATTCATACTTGAAACAGTATGCCAATATCCATACAACATGGATAAAGCCCAAAGATATGCTAAGTGAAAGGAACCAGTATCAAAAGGCCACATGTTGTGTGATTCCGTTTATATGAAATGTCCACAACTGGCAAATCCACTGAGACAGAGAGCGGATTAGCAGTGGCCAGGGGCAGGGAGAAGAGGAGAATGAGGAGTGAGTGATTGCCCATGGGTATGAGGTTTCCTTTTGGGGTAATAAAAACTTTTCCTTTTGGGGTGATGAAAACTTTTAAAATTAAGCAGTGGTGATTACACAACCTTGTGAATATACTAAAATCATTCAATTGCCCACTTTCAAAGGTTAAAATGGTAACTTTCATTATATGTATTTTACAACACAACACACAAAACACGCACACACATGCACGCACACGTGCACACATACACACATGCACACTCATATGAAATCAGTTTGGGGGCAGTGGCCATGGGGACTGAGTCCACTGCTGTGACGGCTGCACCCATAGAGGCCTGGGCACAGCTCTGGGCAGAGAGCTCCTGGGTTCAGGTCTGAGTCTTTACCATGACCTCACCTAGCAGCCCCCAATATCCAAAGAGACCTGGGGCCCCAGGAACTTCAGTTCCAGGGTGCATGGTCAGCAAACTGAGAGGGTAAGGGGTCTGGTCAGAGGCAGAGGTCCTGAGGGGTGAACAGCCTGAGGAGGGGACAGAAGTGCCAAGTGTGCACTGCACCGTGCCCTGGACCTCAGCCCCTCATTTCTTTCTGAGATGAACTTCTTGACTGCAAGCGTACACTACAACGCATCTGCCATTCTCTCGGCAAGGAGCAAACTGCCTTAGAAAAGTTGCTCAGAAAATGCTTATGTATAACATTAAGGGAAAAAAGCAGAATACAAAAATCATATAAATACAGTATTATAGTAACTATTTAAAAAAGACACTTTCTGCAAAGGAAAAAGATACTGAATGGAAAGAAAGGTTAACAGTGGATGTCTTTGCATGATAGAATTTTGGTTGATTCTATAAATCATGCTGCTATAAAGACACATGCACACGTATGTTTATTGCGGCATTATTCACAATAGCAAAGACGTGGAACCAACCCAAATGTCCAACAATGATAGACTGGATTAAGAAAATGTGGCACATATACACCATGGAATACTATGCAGCCATAAAAAATGATGAGTTCATGTCCTTTGTAGGGACATGGATGAAATTGGAAATCATCATTCTCAGTAAACTATTGCAAGAACAAAAAACCAAACACCGCATATTCTCACTCATAAGTGGGAATTGAACAATGAGATCACATGGACACAGGAAGGGGAATATCACACTCTGGGGACTGTGGTGGGGTGGGGGGAGGGGGGAGGGATAGCATCGGGAGATATACCTAATGCTAGATGACGAGTTAGTGGGTGCAGCGCACCAGCATGGCACATGTATACATATGTAACTAACCTGCACATTGTGCACATGTACCCTAAAACTTAAAGCATAATAAAAAAAAAAAAAAAGAATTTTGGTTGATTCATTTTCATTCTACCAGTCCATATTTTCCAAAATGTCTGCAATGACCATGGGTTACTGTTGTAATGGAAGATAAGGTAAGTCGCAGCCTACTCCATCCCCTGCCAAGGGGTTTTCCACTATACTGCAGTCCCTGAGTTTGAAATCCACTTTAAAAATATGACCTGAGTTTAAGTAAGGAACACCTTGTCTCTTCTGTATAAAATCCCCTGTAAACAGAGACACTATCTCCAACTCCCACCAGTTTCTTCCCCAGCTAAGTACTCCTAGACTCAGTTCTGATTCTGCAACCTTAACCTTTAGTTTTTGTTTAACATACTCCGGTTTCCTTTTAACTCCAGGCATGAATGGCAGCAGGACGACATAGCTGGCCCTAGGGTAGTGTCAACAACTCACAGGCAGAAAGACATTTTTGGGGAGGTAAAGGTTCCTGCTGCGGAGTAGAGTTCCTCTACTTCTATAACCAGGAGGTGCTCAAATGTTTTCCATATTTCTTCCTCACAAATAATTTCCTTCCTTTTTTTTTTTTTTTTTTTTTGAGAGAGAGTCTTGCTCTGTCGCCCAGGCTGGAGTGCAGTGGCACAATCTCGATTCACTGCAACCACTGCCTCCCTGGTTCAAGCGATTCTCCTGCCTCAGCCTCCCGAGTAGCTGGGACTACAGGTGCGTGCCACCACACTCAGCTAATTTTTTATATTTTTAGTAGAGACAGGGTTTCGCCATGTTGGCCAGGATGGTCTCAATCTCCTGACCTCGAGATCCATCCACCTTGGCCTCCCAAAGTGCTGGGATTATAGGCATGCGCCACCGCACCCAGCCAAATTTCCTTCTTTCTAGAGTTTTTGTGTTGCTTCTACTTGCTGTCACTTATACTGTGCTTCCCTTTACTGGAGGTCATTTGTGAAGCAGTGTGGCACCAGTGCACAAAGAACCCAGCGGACCTTACTAAGCAGGGTATGGATACCTTTTACACAGCCCATTCCAACCCTTGGGACACTGCCCAAAATAGGTGCTCAGGAAACGTCTGTTGATTCATTTACCGGTAGGAAGCAAGCTTGATTTTCTCCTCTTCCAACCATAACACCTCCCCATGGCATCCGGTTTTTTATTATCATTTCTGAACACTGAGCACCTACTCTATGACAGGCAGGGTGGCCACAAGGAGTCATTGGTGCCCCCACTGGATTTGTAAGCTATTAGGGGAGGCAGAGGACTAACCCAGAAGAGGAAATGGTGGGCCAAGGGAGCAATGACTGCCAGTAGTGATCCTAGCTGGCCACGCAGTCAGGAAAGGCTGCCTAGAGGAGGGGAGCCGTGGACGAGGCCCCACAGAGCAAGCGGGTTTGTGGAGAGGAGGGGAAGGGCATCCAGGGACAGGAAGGGCTTGGTCAGAGCTGGAGCAGTGGGAATGTCATGGCATGTCCAGGGACAAGGGGCTGCAGAAGAGAGCATGGAGGGAGGCGTGCATTTGGAAGGGACTTCAGTGCCAGGAGAGGCCCTTCAACATTTCCCAATCCAGACCTCTTTGCCTAGAAGATATCAAAAAAGAGTAGGAGAGGAGATTTTTCTTCTTCCTCTTTTTTGTTTTTGAGACAGAATTTCACTCTTGTTGCCTCAGCTGGAGTGCAATGGTGCGATCTCAGCTCTCTGCAACCTCTGCCTCCTGGGTTCAAGCGATTCTAGAGAGGAGATTTTTCTAAACAACACTAAGTGGAAGACGAGCCATCCCAATCTCAGAGAAAATGGTTACTGATGGGCCTTAACCTCTAGGCCCATGTGACAGAACTTTGTAAACCCACTGAGGTTATCTCATTGGAATGAACAATGTTGGGAAGGATTTCCTTGTTTTCTTCTGAGCAGACGACATAGCTTGATTCTTTAGTCCTCTTAACAATGTCATTATGCAGGTAGGAGTTTAGGAGCTACCATGAAGAGTGAGCAGGAAATAACCACAGCACAGGGAAGATGCTGTTGAGGTAACGCCAGCGTTCTGGTGCTGGTGGTACCAAGTAGAAAACATCAGACCTAGTGATATAATTGCCCTGACTGTTTCCTCTTTAGTGAAGTGGGTATATTAAAAATACCTGACCTCCTACTTCACAGAATGGCTATAGGAGTCAATAACTCAGGAAGAGGAACACAGTACGAATGCTAGTCATTGAATTGATACTGCCATCTGCAATTGCCACACATTCTGTAGATCAGTAGGGAAGTGGATAGACTTCAGGGAATATAAAATAATAAGAAAAATTAAATTTCCTTTCACTTTTTGGGGAGTAATTGAGACACTGGAGGAATGAAGCATCCAGAATTGTAGAGTAATTTAAGGGCAAAGAGGGGCAAGGAATTCAGGTCTCTTAGCATCTAGCCTGCCTGCTTGGTGTAGCCTTTGGGTGAGGGTAGAAGTAAGACAGAGGCCCCAGGAATTAGGGGATGAAGCCTGGTTAAGTTTGCTGCCTCCTTTCTACAAAAGACACCCATAAGGGTTCCCATTCTGGAACCTTCTGCTCTCCGGTAGAACCGGTTCTGGGCAGTTCATTCCTGCCCAGGAAACTGCATATGTTATATCCCAGCTGTCCCAAGTGCAGGCCTGCTATGGGTGACAGTCCCAGTCACAACACATCCCGGTCCTTGCTCCACCACTGACTGCCATGTGACCTCACACAGGCTGCTCTACCTTAGTTCCTTCATCAATAAAATCGGGACTGCGATCTGTTCTGCCCACCTCCCAGAAGAACTGGGGGTTGCACATGTGAAGTAATGAGCTTGAGAGAGAGCCTGGAGAAAGCTGGGGCACGAGGCCCGGCCCTGCTCCTCAGCCTCACTCACCTCTTTGACCCTGTGCAACAGAGGCTGGAGCCAGTCCCTGTTCACCTCACAGTGGCTGTCGAGGAAAGTCAGAGTGGTGCCCTGGGCGATGTCAGCGCCCCGAATCCGGGACCGGACCAGACCTGCAGTCAGGAACAAATGACGAAGTGGGTGCCACTGTCACTCCATTGTCCAGCGAGACCAGGGAGAAGCCACCCAGCATTCCCCACTGATCACCCCAACACACACACACCATCACACCTTCGACCCCCCGACACTCACACTGGAGGCTCCCGCACAACAGCTCAGACCTACCTTGCCGTTCATTATTGCGCAAGCATTTCACCTTGGGCAACTTGATGAGCTGTTTACAGTCATCAGCTGCAAAGACAAAAGGTTAAGCCAATTGAGCGCCCAGGGATGGACCTACGTGTTACAATTGTGTGCACTGCAGGTGAACCTGAAGGGTAGGTGAGGCAGCCCTGTCCACTGTCCCCTAACTGCAGAGTGCAGTCCTGACTCCAGGGTGTTTCCAGGCTATGAGAGGCTGACAGATCACTGCTGTCATACAAGGTGGCCAGTCTAGGGCAAAGAGGCCTCAACTGGGCCACTTTGGAACAGGTCAGTACACAATGGCACCTGTATACTTGCTTGAA
The DNA here is from genome assembly GCF_000001405.40 of Homo sapiens. NCBI lineage: Eukaryota > Metazoa > Chordata > Mammalia > Primates > Hominidae > Homo > Homo sapiens. The sequence goes on from NC_000002.12 coordinate 30,956,253, forward strand.
AATGTTCCAGGTGGAAAATCTTGGCCTAGTCACCTGGGGACATTTCTCTTTTCTTTTTTGTTATTTTTCTCTTTAAACAATTTTTAATTTAAATTTTTAATCTTTAATTCTTATGGACACATAGTAGATATATATATTTATGGGGCACAGGAAATGTTTTGATCCAGGCATGCAATGTGTAATAATCACATCATGGAGAATGGAGTATCCATCCCCTCAAGCATTTATCCTTGTTATTAATACAAACAATCTCATTTCTCTTTTGTTTGTTTTTGAGACGGAATCTCGCTGTCGCCCAGGTTGGAGTTCAGTGGCGCAATCTCTGCTCACTACAACTTCCACCTCCTGGGTTCAAGTGATTCTCCTGCCTCAGCCTCCCAGATAGCTGGGACCACAGGCATGCACCACAATGCCTGGCTAATTTATGTATTTGTAGTAAAGACAAGGTTTCACCATGTTAACCAGGCTGGTCTCGAACTCCTGACCTCAGATGATCCTCCCGCCTCAGCCTCCCAAAGTGCTAGAATTACAGGCATGAGCCTCTGTGCCCGTTCCCCATTTCTCTTTTCTTATAGGCCATTCAAAGCACTGGTCAATTTAGTAGGTCTGGTAAAAACTGCTGGAAGGCCAAGAATAAATGAGATTTTAGACTTTCCTTTCAGCTCACAGACCTGCTTTTGGAAGGGTCCCACTCAGCATGCCTCCCATTACACAGAGCTGGTTCACTTCTCCACCATACAGGAAACCCCATCCTAAGCATTTGTCCCTGTTACTCCCTGGCTTGCCTGCTGCTCCTCACTCCTTTGGTTCACCAGCTCCCTGGCTCTGAACTCCATATCTTGGCTCCACCATTGTGGTTTTGCTTTATTAGTTTATTGACCTTGGCCTCCCTGCTTGGCTCTGAACTTTAAAGAATAACAGAAAAGACTTACACAGGCTTCTGGGCTAGGTACTGTTCTAAGCACTTCAAATGTGTTAACATGTTTAATCCTTATATAAACCATATATACCATCTCTGTTTTATAACAAGGAAACTGACATGCACCAGGTTGATTATTTGCCCAAGGCACATAGCTAGTGAGTGATTTACAGGTCTAGGATTTGAACCTAGGCAGTCTGGCTCCAGAGTCCATGTTTTAACCACTGCTATTCTGCTTGCAAGTGAATCCAGCAGCACTCTCTTCTCTTGCTTCAGTGCCAGGCTACCCCTCAGCAGGGCCAGTGTCTGCCCACCTCCAAGCTCTTCCTCACTGGGGAAGGGAGAGCCGATCCTCACGTTCCAGAACTCAGAGTCTTGATCTCATTACTCTAGGCCTCATGTACAGCCCACTTCTGCATCACCCCCAGAGGTTCTGAGGCAGCACCAATGGGTAGGGGTTTCCAGCCTTCGTACAGCAGACCGCAGTGTGGGGGTGGCTCCCAATGCCCAGCTTCCAGCCTCAGAACTAGTGGGGGTGGACTCCACTCTGATAGGACCTGGAGCTGTCCACAGTGGTCATTCCATTTCCCTCAGTTCGTCACCAGGAAGAGGGTGTTCTGCTTGGTTATGATTGACTGCACAGAACTGTACCCAGGCTCCTGGGAGGACGGCCTTCAGGTGAGGTGTCGGCACTACCAGTACATTACTTCTGACAATGCTTCAACTATTACTGTACATTTCAAATTTGATGCACAGTGTCTGGTAAGACACACATGTTTTTCTTGGAGAGAGTGGATTTGCTGTGAATTTGGATGAGACTCAGGTTCTTTGATAGGATAACTGGAGGACACAAGGTAGGAAATGAGCAAGAAAAGAATGCGGAAAGGTTGGAAGGCAACCCTCACTGTGTCATGGCCAGGTGACAGGATGTCCCACGGGGTTGGGGAGGTCCCAAAGACAGGGCCCACCTAGACCTCCCAGGAAATGATAGGAAGAGGGCCTTAGCTCAGACTGCAGATTATTGCAGAGAACCCGAGAAATTGTTTTTTGGATATAAAGCTTCTCTCCTTCTGAGCCTAGCCACGGACGCTCAAAGACTTCCGTACCTATTACAAACCTGGGCTTTTCCCCATTCCCAGAAAACCAGTGGACTCACCTCTGCCTGTTACAGAGTGGCTGGGAACAGACATTCGTGTCTAAAGAGCAAGTGAGCAACATGACTTACGGTCATTGCTGAAGTCATCCACTAATATGATTTCCCGGATCAGATGCGTAGGGGTGCGGTTTAATACACTGCAAGATGGAAACAGAAAAAAATCACTGGAACTTCTAGTGGCAAAATATATGTACTAACCCGAGTTTTAAATAGATACCATTGCATTTAAGGAATGAAAAATCAGAGCACCAACGGGCTTGTCCAGTCATATTGCTTATCTGTGAGCCAGGAGGAATGTAATTCTGCCTTCACCATCTTAGTGAATACCTCCACCACCCGCAAAGCCACCCAGACAGAAGCCCAGGAGTTAACCTCGGCAACCCTCCTACTCCCTGAAACCCCACAGCAAATCAGTAAAGACTGGCTGGTTTGACTGGAAAATGTCACTCAAATCACTTTCACTTCTTATATCTCTCCCCTGATTTAACCTCTTCTGTCTAGTTTATAGCCTCAACTTGCCCCAGCCTCTCCCAGGCCATCTTGCTCGTGGTCTCCAGAGCGAACTTTCTGACAAGGAGCTTTGATTGTGTGACTCTCCTCGCCAATGCAAATAAATAAACTGACAGCCCCCCAGGGGCTCCTCACTATTGACATCCCAAATCCTCAGCACATTCCTAAGGCCTTTGCCATCAGAAGCTGGCCCACATTTCCCCACCTCCCATGCCCAGTGCCGCTGTCTGAAGCTGTCCTGCTCATTCATAACTAAGAGCCTCTCTCCTGCTGCTGCCGCTGCTTGAAATGCCCCTGTGCTGCCCACAAGGACCAGTTTGAATGTCACTTCCTCCCTAACAGCTTTCCAAGCCACTACGTGAGAATTAATTGCTTCCTCCTCTGGGATCTCCTAGTAGTTTGTATCTGATCCTATGACTTTTCTCACTTCCCAGCCCTGAAGTTTGGTTTTGTACCTCACCCGCCTGTGGTCCCCTCTGGAGGGAAATATCCCAGGGCAAGACCCTTGACCCATTGCTCTCTTTATTGCCAGAGTCTAGCACAGAGCCTTGGTCCATAACTATTCCCTCGAGGGATATTTACTGAACACCTACTATGTGCTCAGCACTGGGCATATGATGATTCTACCCTCCAGAAGCTTGTGGTATAGCAGCTACTTACTACAAGCTGTGTAATCTCGGGCAAGTTACTTTACTGCTCTGTGCAGCAAAGAATCCCATCTAGAAAACAGGGATAATAGGAGTACTTATTTCACAGTGCAGTTGAGCAAATTAAAGGAGAAAGTGTATAAAAAGCATTTAACATGATATTTGGCACTTTATGATAACAAATGGTTGCAATTTTTTATTATCACTTAATTTGGTGCATCATTAATGATTTTTGAATCTAACTGACTCACTTACCCCTCCTGTGCTGTGGATCTCTATCCAGGGGCAAGGTTAACTCTGTGTCTTAGGTCTGACTGAGATGACTGGATCCTGCTTCTCCTGAACACCCCAAACCACGTGACTACTCAGAAACATGGCTGGGCCACACCAGCTATCACGGGATTCCCTGTGATGTTGGAGAGGGGGTTCAGAATGGGTGCAGGTGGAGGCGCTGTATGCAGCCCTCCTCCCAGGAGGACCCTTCTGAGCCCTGACTGGAGAGCACTACCCCTTCTATGCAGGATGCAGACTCTACTGGAAGAGAACTTAGCCTGGAGCTACCATATTTATGAAGCCTTGATTCTCACCATGGCAACTAGTATCAGATGGAGAGAGGAACCCCAACACAAAGTCGTGAGCTCACTGTCTCTGTCTTCGGGAGCTCATGGTCAGGGAGGGGAAAGAAGGCTGCAGCCTCTGCCAGAGGATGGTGGAATGGGACTGTTCACCATGATCGTCCCAAAGAAAACACATACAAACAACAACCAGCCCTCTAATCAGGGAGGGAAGCAGGAGACAGCGGAAAACCTGCTGGAAGAATAACCCCTAATGAGGTTTGATTACGGCTGTAGCTTCTGCATTCAATTCTGCTAAATCCCTGCCAGCTCTTTGAAATTCAAGAGTTCTCTTCTGCGAACATCAAAAGGTAAATCGCGTGCGGCTCTGCACTGGTTGAACTGAGAGATGATTAGTGAATAAAAAATGTCCAGGGTTTAAAACAGAAAAGAAAAAAAAAAGAAATAGTCAGCAGTGAGTGCTAATTAGACCATTTCGTGGTAACACCTGGCTTGTTTTTGCTTCTCTAATCAGAACAATTGGAGCGATGGCGGAGTCCCCTTAAACATGGCCTGCAGCTGGGAGGGCCTGAGGTGGGCACGTGCTCTGGGTGGTCAGAGGAGAAGGTCAAGTCCAGTCCAAGGGACCTAGCCTGGCCTAGGTGGTCCTCCAGGGCCCTCCCTCATGCACACCCACTCTCATTCCCTCCACCCTGGGAGGGAATGGTTGCTCAGGTCTCCCTCCCTTGCTCTCACCACTGCCTCTACAGCAAAGCAAATCCATTCGTCCAGGCCCAGCAGAGGATAGCTCTTCTCAGCCTCACCCCCACTCCAGCTGCCTTCCCCACACCCTTCCTTTGCCTCAGCATGGGAATAAATGCTCTCCTCACTCTGCCTGGGATTGTTCTAGAACAGAGTCTTCTATATGCAGCTCATCTCTCTGCCAGAGGGCAGGTACACAGGTGGCTTCTACACCTGCTGCACCCTAACTATTGGCCCTCAAGGAGCCCCCAGAGGCCGCAGGGCAGCGTGGGCAGTGTAGGCTCAGAGGCCAGGTGGGCTGCACCACCCACTAACTGTGCAATCCTGAACCAGATAGATGTTGGTTCGCTCCCAGCCTTCATTTCCTCCTGTAATTACATTTTCCTTGTAAAAGCAGGCGATATTAATACTTGACCTACTTCACAGGCTTTTGTGCCTGTGAAATAAGGAAATGTATTTGAAATTGCTTTGTGAACTCCACGGTGCTCTATGCAGGCAGGTTTTATCAAACGCTCCATAAATACCAGTAGAATGAAGACCCAAGGCCGGCTGACAGTTGAGTTTAGTCATTCTGGAGTGAGACTAACTTGGGTTCAAGTACTGTTTCTTTGTATCCACCATTCACTAGCTGGGAGAGCTTCAGTAAGTACTGAACCTTCAGCACTATAATTTCCTCAGCTGTGTGAAAGGAGCTCACCATGCCTGGCACACAGCAGCTGCTCTCTGAATGGTGGTATTGATATTAATAATATTGAAGCTAATAATAGCAATATGCATAACTTTCCCAAGTGGGATCCTGGAGCCAGCAGCATCACCGTCACCTAGATACTTGTTAGAAATGCAAATTCTTGGGCCCCACTCTAGGCTTACTGGGTTAGACTTTCTTTTTTTTTTTTTTGAGATGGAGTTTCACTGTTGTTGCCAAGACTGGAGTGCAATGGCACAATCTCGGCTCACTACAACCTCCGCCTCCCAGGTTCAAGTGATTCTCCTGACTCAGCCTCCCAAGTAGCTGGGATTACAGGCGCCTGCCACCATGCCCAGCTAATTTTTTGGTTTTTTTGTTTTTTTTAGTAGAGACGGGGTTTCACCATGTTAGCCAGGCTGGTCTTGATCTCCTGACATCAGGTGATCTGCACACCTTGGCCTCCCAAAATGTTGGGATTACAGACATGAGCCCCTGTGCCCAGCCTGGGTTAGACTTTCTACAGATGGGGCCCAAGAAACTGTGTTTTAATAAGCCCTCCGGGAGCTTCTGAAGCCTGCTCAAGTTTGAGAGCCCCTGCATTAGAACTCTGCTGTCTGCCAGGGCTGGAGGCTCACAATATACACCTGTTGTCACCGCTCAGGCTCACCATATGCCAGGCACTGCTCCAAGTCCTTTCCCTATCTGAAATTACTTTGTCTTCTCCACAATGATGTCAGGTAGTTATTATTAGCAGTCTCTGTTTTGCAGAAAAGGAAACTGAGGCAGAAAGGCTAACTTGCTTGCTTGTGATCACACACCTGTTAAGGGCAGAGCCATGAAAATCTGGCCCCAGAGTCCAAATTCTTAACCACCTTACTCTGAGAAATGGCTCCCCTAGATCTGGGATATTATAAAAAAGCAACAGTGAGAAGACTCAACACATAAAGGGATCCATTGCCCATGCCTCAGAGCCCCCATGGGAGGGGTGGCGGTGAAGGATGCCCCAAAAGGAAGGTGACAGCGCTGGGTCTCCCATAAACATGCAGACTCACTGCATCAGGAGTCAAGATAAACCACTCTTCAGGGCTTGTTTTCTCTCTAAGTGAGAATGTCCCCTAATTCATCAAGGTCATGCTTCTCTACACCCACCCCATCATCTGTGTGCCCGATTGAGCCTCTACCTGGCTCTGAGTTCCCCACGTGAGCCTGTCTAGTCCCCAGCTAACTCCAGAGCTTAGGGGGCCAGAGGGTCTGGGCAGGGGGGTTGCAAAGAGCCTGACAACAAAGCCTGTCCAGAATTCCAGAAAGTTAACAATGAAAGGTACTTTAGAGAAGATCCCTTTATTGAAGACCTCTGAGACAGGACATGTCCTTCAGTCAGTCCCCTCTCAGTGGCTAGTGATTCATTTGTGCAACAGGATAGAGAGTGAAAGGGAGGTATAGAATCTTAAGGCATGGAAGTTTCTAGAAGTAATCTTTCCTGCCTCCACCCCTAACATTCATTTCTGCCCTGCCTGCTTTTGATATAAGCTCCTGGTTGTCTACACATGCCTCTCAGGTCTCCATTTTGCTGTTTGTGTGTGTCATACTTGGGTCTGAGCTCGGGGCTGGCTGACATCTGAAGTTCCTAGGAGGCAGGAAACAGGCTCTCTCAGCTAAGTCGTCTGGCACGTCATGGGTGTCTTCTGAAAAGTACAGGGCTGATGGGCGCCAAGAACCCTCCCAGAGTGCAGGGTTCCAGGGCCTCAGGGCAGCCCTCCAACAGGCAGGCAGACAGAGGAGCCGCGCTGTACCTCCAGGAAACCCAGGAAAGCTGACGCCTGATGCCTCTGCTCTCAACAAGTGCACCACCTGCCCCACAGGCTCAGGATGAGGCTCCAACTGGAGTGAGAGAAGGAATGTGTTCTGCAGGCCACAAAGCTCAGGATACATTTAACACGGTAATCTTATTAAGTATCATTAATACCACATAGAGGTGGAGGAGCGGCAGGAAGAGGAGAAACATGTCTTAGAGTCTGAGCACAGCAGCTAAGGTACCCTCGAGGACATAAACACTGTTAGGGAGGCCTGGGGGGCCTAGAAGCCCCCATATTACATACACTGTAATGCCCCCAAATGTCTGAGACATTCCCCAGAGGAACGTTTATTGTAGAAATGTGATAGAATTAGAAACATGAAAGATATTTTTATCATCATTTTCTACAGATGTAGTTAATAACATGCCCCAGGGTCACACAGCTAGGAAGTGGTAGGGTTTGGATTTGACTCCAGGTCTTCTGACTCCAAGTGTGGTACCCTTTTAAGTATCCCATAGCCTCCTTTCTTTGATCAAGCATTTATTCCATGCCAGGCACTGTTCTCAGTCCTTTAGCCGAATTAACCCTTAGCAACCCTATGCACTAAGTACGATTAGTATTCTCATTTCCTTGGTTAGGATACTGAGCCATTGGGAGGTTAAGAGATGGATAAGATAAGTCCTTGCCCTAAAGGAGCTCACTGAAGGTTACATGCTGAAAAAATGCAGCAAGTACTGGAGTAGTGATATGTAGAGAAGGGCCCAGAGGAAGCCCCTGATGGGGTGCATGTGTGTGATGGTGTCAGGGGATGGAGGCACCCAGCATCAGAGAGCTTCTTGCAGGATGGGCAGGGAGAGGCCAGCCTGGAAAGCGAGGGGCCTCTCTCAGGTGCTAACGCTGTTCTCATGGAAACATCTGGCAGGCATGCCCAGTCATGACCGGTGGAGCAGCCACCATGGCGGTGGGGAAGGCAGAGGTTGCAGTTGGTCTGCTCCATGAACCCCCCCTGGTGCCCCAGCACATCACAACGGCAGGGCTGTGGTCTGGCACTTCAGAACCAGCCACCTCCACCTCCCTGTGTGTCCTCTCAGCCTGGATGCCCCAGACGCTCCTCCCCTCACCACAGGAGACCCAGGAGAATTGGGCCTCCTCCATCCCTGTTGTCCCCACACTTAACCAGCCAGGCGCTTTGTTATCGTTAATCTACCCCGAGACTCCCGGTGACACCTGACAGTGACTTGGCACATTTTCTTGTCAAGAGCTATTGCCTGGTTGGGAAATCAAATTTGAATCAGGTGGCTCTTGGGGTGATTACAGAAGCCAGGATGGGCACGTGGCTGGAGGAAGAAGCCAGCCTGACATTGCCAAGGATGTCTAAACAGCAGACAGGGCTGTCCCCTTGGATGGGTGGAAGCACTGGGCTAAAAACTGTGTGTCTGGGCAGGTCCCTCCCTATGTCTCTAAGGGATGTGGTGACTGTATACAGTGGACATTCATCATTCATGACAGGTGGAGCTGAAGATTTGGTGCCTTCCCTCAGGGTGACCCTACTGCAGGACTTACCTCCCATCACCTGGAACTTCCCACTGCCCACAGCCATGCGGCGGCGGGAGAGACAGGAAAAGTGTAGCCTGCATGATGGAAACAATGAGATTTTGCTGTGTTTCGTGTGCTCTCTGACCCATGTTTCATCATATTTTTTTCTCTGTGGCATCGGCACCAGCTGATGTGCTGCTCAGCAGGACAGGAAGGGTCTAATGAGCCGCGTTTCATGGGGACATGGAGGTACTGGGGGTTCTTGCTCAGCTGCGGGACGTGGCTGTGGCATTCCTGGCCCCGAAGGATGCTGAACACCACCACTGGGACTAGCCTCTCCCTACTCAGGCTGACAAGAAGGAGGACTCTGAGATCAGAGTGCAAGGCCTGGAATCCTGCCTCACTATCACTGGCTAGGCGACACTGGACCTTGATTTAGTATCTCCAATGTCAGTTTCCTCAGCTGTGAAGTGGGCGTGGCAGTGGCCTCCTCACCTCTGCAGCTGAGGTGCACAGAATATGTGCGCAGAGGAGCTGGAGTGAGGGCGGCTGCTGTCATTGCCATCTGAGAGGTAGATACTGCTGGTGGCCTGAGGGAGGGAGAAGAGGACAGATGACTTCTGGAGGGGAGGGCGGGCATGGGGGAAGGGGGGTGAAACAGCCAGAGTCTTTGGAGAATCTGGGGGAGGAAATCCTGGGTAAGCCTTCTGGGTGCAGGTCTATGTTCTGAGGGGAGTTCTGCTAGGGACTGGCACTGGGACTTGGGCACATCAAAAACCCACGCAGGCCAGAGGCCATCCATAGCAGGATACACCTATTAGAGCAAGAACACGACCCAGAGGATGAGTGGACTGAAGCCCAGGGGAACGGGGATGGAACTGCAGGTAGATGGTCAGGAAGGCAAGCCTTAGTGATTGCTGCAGGCCGTTCTGATTTGCATGGCCCCTGGCAAGTGTGTGGGAGGGCAGAGAATCAGGGTGCTGGGTGCTGACCCAGCCTGATGCTGGGGCTGGGGTGTGCACTCAGCCTTTCAGGGCCTCAGCCCCTTCCTCATTTGTGGAAGTCAGAACCCATGCTCTAGAGGCAGCCTGGCAGAGTGGGGAGGCCGAGGGCTCTGAGGCTGCTTCTTCTACTTATTCTCTTTGACCTTCTGCACGTTACCTAACACCACAGGCCTCTGTCTTTCTATAAAATGGGATAATAGCCTCCCTTACAGGAATGTGAGGAGTGACTGAGTGGACACATGTGACATATAGAATAGTGCCTGGCACGTAGTTAGATGTGTCTGGTGCTCCTAGTACAGCGCTGGGCACCTGGGGAGCAGACACACTGTCACCAAGTGCTGGCCCAGAGCTGGCCAACAGACAAGCAAGGATGCCTCACCTGCGGATGGTCCTGAGCAGCGTGGAGCGGGCCTCGTTGTGGAAGGTGATGATGATGCTAGTGGGTGGAAGGTCCGTGCAATACACCAGCAGTGTGCATCTGGGGAAGGAAAGGCACAGGGCAAGTGAGACCTTCAGGGACAAAGCATATCTGGAGGGCTAGAACCGAGGGCATCTGGGTGGGCATCCCTATGCCAGATGCTTGATATCTAGAAGGGCTTCCCCAGCTGCAGAGTACTAGGTAAGACCCCACGGCTTCACCTGGCCCTAAGAGGGGCTGGGGAGCTCCAAGAATGACTAAATCTGAATTTTCTACCACCTTGGGGGAACCTAGGCTTGGAGACGAATTGAGTTGATATACTGAAAATAAGTGTGGTATTTCTTGCATGCCTGAGCCAGTGCACAGTGGCTCCTGGTAGCTGCATGAACACAACCCCAAGTCGGGCTCTGCTTCCCACTCTCTACCCTTTCAGCCCATCTGCCCACACCACTGGCCAGTGGGTAGATTCCAGTCGGCAGAGGCTTCACTGTGTTCTGGGCTAACAGCTTCAGGCTACCATGTTGTGCTGACGCCCAGCCCCTGCAACACACACCTAAATGTGGCATGTAAAAGAGGCAGAGCCCCAAACCCTGGTATAAGTGATAAAACCCCATCTTGAAAAGGCATTCACTTCCATGTATCCAGGATTATTTCCTATGACAATTACATCTGGGGTAATTTCAATTTAATACCTCGCTGCAAGTGAAAATTGTAGCCTGCAGCTTGAAAATTACTATAATAATGAAAATAAACCCGCCAAGTGAGGCTGGTGGCACCAGGGGCTATCACTGGGTAAATGCTTCCTCCTGTTTCTTGCTATTTCGGGGGATGTTCAATTATTGCGGGGAGCTGGGGGATATTAAAAGATGAAGTAAATAACAGACTTTAGGGAGTCAAATATTTGCTTTTTTCATTATCTATTTTTTTCCTAGGCCTGGGGCTTTTAATATAGGGTTCAGAGACCCAGGGATGGACTTCAAGGGACACGTGAGCCCTCTGAAATTGTTTGCAAACTGTGTGTATAAATGTGCATTTCTTTTCCCCTGGAAAGATAGTTCATAGTTTTCACTAGTCTCAAGAAAGTCTGTGGCCTAAAGCATTTAAGATCCTTAGTCCTAGGCTAATGGCCCTGGTGTCATGTTGGCCTCTCAGATAACTCTGATCAGTTTTTTCTATAGGGGCATAGGCTGAAGGCTCATGGTGTCGGTCCAGAGAACTTATTTAGAAAAAGCCAGGCAGCTCTGATCAGGACTCAAGCATGGGCTGGGCGTGGGTCATCCAGGAGGAGCCAAAAGTTAGGGAAGGAAGGCCCCAGGAGCAGAGATGGTGGAAAAGGTAAGTCTTGTCCTTCAAGCCTGTCCTCTCTGCCAGAAACAATTTCTCACCATGTCCTTTTGCCCCACCTCCTGAATTCACCCCTCCTCTCATGCCCATGGCCTCTCAGACAGTCCTTTTTTCTCAGGGGAGCACTGCAGCAGCTTCCTGACCCATCTTTCTGCCTTCAGTCTCTGCCCCTGCCAGTCATGTCCTGTCCACCACATAGCTCTGCCAAAGCTTCCTCTGGTTTGAATCCCTCCAGCAGTTCCTGATGTATGAAGTCCAAACTCCCTATCACAGCCTTCTACACCCTTCAAAATCAGTCTTGTATGCTGCCATGACTCTCCACCATTGCTCATGCTATTACCTCTGCATGGAGCAACGTCCTTTCTCCTTCCTCTACCTGAGGACTCTTATTCAACCTTCAAGACCCAGAGCAAATGTCCCCTCTGCTGTGAAGGTGTTCCATACTCCCCCAAATAGGTAAGGACCTGTCCTTTGTGTTGCCATCATTCTGTACATAACTCTTTTCTCGCAGTTCTCGTGATGAGACTCTCCTCAACTTGACTGTGAGTTCCTCCAGGGAAGGCCCATGCCCTTGTCCATCTTTACATCACTAGAACAGGGTTTAAGTATACCAGTTGTCCATTGATAGAGAAAGGGAGAAAGTAAGTCAGGAAGTGCGTTCCTAGGTCAGCTGAAGACAGCCTCTTCTAGCTTTCTAAGGTGTGACAGCCAGCCGCCGATGGCTGCCACTGATCTTCACTAACTGGGTTTTATGTCCTTGTGTAGCCCCTCCCTCACTGAAGCAGGGCAGCTCATATGACCCATAGAATATGGTAGAAGTGACGGTGTGTGTCTCCCAAGGTTAAATCACAAAAACATTGCAGGCTCTGCCTTGGCCACTTGGAGGGAAGCCAGCTGCCATGCTGTGGGGACACTCGAGCAGCCCTGTCTACGGAGAGATGTCCAGGTGGAGAGGAACTGTGGCCACCTGCTGAAGGCTGGCACCAACTTGCCAGCCACATGAATGAGTCACCTTGGAAGTGGGTCTGAAGCTCCAGTCAAGCCTTCAGATGACAGTGGCTACAACAGACTTCCAACTGCAGTTCAATGAGACTCCAAGCCAGAACCACCCAGCCAAGATGCTCTGAATTCCTGACCCACAGACACTGTGAAGATAATCGATGATTCTTGTTGTTTTACACCACAAAGTTTAATCAGGAGTGATTTGTTGTACATTAGATAAGCAGTAGAAAAAGGGAAGGAGAATGCCTTGAAACAGCTCCCAGTGAGAAGAGACCTTGGCCTTGCTTATCTTTGGACACAGACCTGACTCACTTAGGAGCAGAGGAGAGGGAGGGCATTGCTCGTAGGTAGTTGAGGTGGAACCAGGGTTGAGGGAGACCTGGAGGGAGTGTTAGCTGGCAGGTGGCAGGTCTGTGAGAGCATGGAGGGGCTTGGAGAGGCCCAGGCAGAGGGGAAGGAGCCAGCATGGTCAGCCCCAAGAGGAACAAGTGGATGTCAGGGAGGAGGGCCAGCATCTGTCTCTCTAACAGGAGGCAACAAGTCACAGAGCTCAGCAGAGCCTCCTGGTCTCTCCATAAGAGACAGCAGAGGAAAAAGAGCCCAAGCAGAGTGACTCAGCAGCCTGCCACCACCAGGACCGGGTGTGTCCAATGGCCAGGCCTGAAGCTGCTCCTGGCTGCTGTGGTCCCTGCTATGGGGAAAGATGCTCTGAAATCCCTCATGGGGTTAGGACGAAGGCACTGCCTTGGGGATGCTTCCTATTCCACATGCTGGGAGGCAGGGGGACCACACACCCCAGCTTTTGTGGTACAAGTTACTCAGGGGCAAGTTGGGGAGGGAGGTGGTACTGAGAGTTATCTCCTTTGAGAGCTTTTGGGGACAGGGGCCATTTGTCCTGCCTTGGAGGACTAGCTGAGGAGGCAGGTATATTGACCACAGTGACACAGATGCATGCACACACGCAGTTACGCAGAGGCATAACTCTGCCTGGAGTGGCAAAGATGGCTTCGTGGAGGAGGAGCTGCTGGATCTCATGGGGGTAAAGTAGGGAGGGACAGACAGAAATGGGGCACAGAATTCCAGTCATGGGCACAGAACTAGACCTACAGACCACGTGAGGCAGTTCCCAGAATCCTGGCTTGGGGGATCAGGATACCACTGACCAGCTGTGGGTACGTGAGCCAATCACCCACCTCTCCAGCTTTCCATCTGCTCCTCTGTAACACGGAATGGGCCCAAGGCTCTCCTGCTAAATGCTCTCACAGCATCAGCTTTCAGAAGCTCTGACCATAGCTAACATTCAATACGCATGGTTAGGAATGTCACAAATGCCATTTTGTAACTGAGGCTCAGTTGTCAATGGGCATCCGACATTACTTTCCCAAGCCTCAGTTTCTTCATCTGGAAAATGGAGATAACAATTCTGGAAGATTTTCTCCCTTAGACTATTACTATGTTAGGTGATTACATAGTGCCACGTTAGATGCTTGACAAATAGTAACTATTATTATTTTTAGCATCGGCCCAAATCTGCAGACGACTCTGCCTGCTGGGTGGAACCAGATCTCACAGGGGCTGGAAAGGCATCTTTGCTGGGGGGTTCTGTCCTGTCCCACAAGCAGGTAAGGGGCATTGAGAGGCAAGAGGAGGAGCAGAGATCAAAGGATGCAGCGTCAATGTGAGTGAAAAGAACCTGGGCTCTGATGCCTGCATTTGAGTCTGGACATGTCGAGAACCAGCTGTGTGCCCTTGGACACATCATTTACCCTCTCTGAGCTTCAAGACTGTTCCCTGTAAAATGAGGATAAATACACATTTTTGTTGTGAAGACTGCAGATGATGCACGTAAGCACGTGGTGTTTAAAGGGTGCTGAGGAAATGGAAGCTAGAATTGCTATCATCACGCCCAGAGAGTGGGTGAGCCGGCCCGCACGCCAGGTTCAGCTCATCGACTAGAATCACAAGCTCATGGTTTAGAAAAGGAAAGGACCATGGAGACGACGCAGTTAAACCTCCTAAACTGGGCCCACCTTACTGACACACCAGGTGTGTGTCAGTAATGGCTTACTGAGCCATTGTCCTCCTGGTCTCTGAGACCCCCAGCCTCTGTCCCTGCAGAGTAAAGAACAGGGCTGTACCCTATGAGCTCCTCCAGCACAGGCCCAGGGAGGGCAGGTAGTGGGGTGCCATCCCCCACCTCACAGGCTCAAAAAGCTTCACAGGACTCTCCTCCTGCCCCTGCTCACAGCTCAGGAGCCTGGACTCACCCCTTGTCTCAGGTGACCCTCACAACCGCCCCCACTCCACAGATGAGCTGAACTAAGGCTCAGAATCTCGCTCAAGGTGGCACACCTGCTGAGTAACTGGGGTGAGGGAAATCCACATCCTGTGACTCCTAATCTGGTGCTCGTCCCTACAGTCTCCCTGTGAACTCACCGGGGTTCAAGGCACCTGCCTTGGAGCCCTACACACGAGTCATCTGTGGTCCAAGGACCAAGGGATGAGCATGGGGATAGGCAGCAACAAGGTTGAGAGTCTGAGAAAAAAATCCAGAAAGCTGGACATGGTGAGGAGAGTCGGCCCAGACAGTAGGGTTTCTGTGGGAGAGATCTAAAAGATCAATCAAACAGTGAGATCTATTAGGGGCACGAGGGAATGGAAAACCCTGCCAACACTGAGCTCTGGCGCCAGCAGACAGACGAGCAAGTACGTTGATAATTTATTAAAGATGCAGTGTTTTACTGGAAGAAGAGCCAGTGAGCGGGAAAGATTGGGGGCGGGGTGTGGGGGACACCGAAGAGTCTCCATGAGCCAGGAGGAGACTCTGGTCTCAGCCTCACCTCCTGGGGAAACAGAATCCCGGGATCTCTATACGTGATGGCCACAGCAGCTCATGAGGAAGGCATGCTTTTCTAAGCTGATCGCTGACATGCTGTTTCTTTCTCTTCCATTTTTAATGAATGACTCAGTGAAGACTCTCAATTTTCCCCAACTTGAACTGGGGCTCCAAGGGCTTCCTGCACTGCCAGGCTCTGGAGCATTCAGTGCCACTTACTGTCCGAAAATGCTTCCAGGAAAGTGCTCTGAGATGCTAACCCCAGGGTCTGGGGAGGAGTGGCCCCTCTTTCCTCTGCACAGTCACTGCCTCCTGCTCACCCCCACAACACCCCCCACCCTGCACCTGAATATGTGACAACTTGGCATGTCAGAAACATGCTCAGTGATGGTTGCTGTCAGTCATGGCAGTCATGTCATGATGCGTGCGATGCCTTTTATTTTACCCCACGAGCTCATTACATCCTGGCAGCAGCCTATAACGGAGAGCGTGATGATGATCACTGTCACCCCCATTTCATCAATGAGCAGTCAGGGCTCCCAGTGCTTCCGTGGCTTGTCTGCCGGGGCCAGGACCCAGGCCCTCGGACACCCAGATACATGATCTTCCTCCTGCGGCATGCTGCCTTCATGGGAGAAAAGACTTGGTCATAAATTAGAAACATTCAGGATTTTATTCTCCAGCATGAAACCAGGAGGGAGTGATGGAGAGGCATACCCACTAACTCTGAAGTGGAGAGGAGAGCGTAATTATTATTACTGAAATGTCAGTGTCAAAGAGAAGCCGCTCTGGCTTCTCTGGAATTGACAATGGCTCCGAATCTTAAAGGTGGGCTCTGGCATCCCAGACGGGAGTCTGAAGACAGTTAGAGAATGGGAAAAGGTCAGGCAACTACACAGCACAATGAAATGGAAATCAAACAGGCCTGGCGTGGCGTGGGACACACTGGGACTGAACCTTCGCTGCTTGGAGCTCCCGGTTTACAGTGATGACGGTATCCACCTCCTGGAAAGCTGTTAAACTACTGCTCATTGAACCTTTCTCAGCAGGCACCACGCAGAGCACCTCACATATTTACTGCTCACAGTAATCCTATGAGGCTGCTACTGGTTTACAGATTCACTAATGAGGAAACTGAGGCACAGAAAGGCTGAGGAACTCACTCCAACTAGCAAAGGGAATTTGAACCAGGCCTGCTGGACTCCAGCGTCCTCGTCACATGTTGTAATACCTCTGAACCAGGACTGTTCCAATTGTGACTCAGGTCTATTCTGTGGCCTTGTACACTGTGTATACTCACATGCCCACTCTTGAATGACCACCCGAAGAGGCGGTTTCTACTGAGCTCTGGAAACCAGCAGGTACAGCGACCTGTCCAGGAGGGAGGGACTGGCTGCTGCTCCTGGGTGGTAACAGGAAGATGGGAAACCGCTGGTGGGCTGCCACGGGTACATCCTAAACAGGGGCTTCCACTGGAGTCTGATCAGGTGGGCGAAGATGTGACCTCAGCAAGGCCCTGGGTGAGGTGATTCATGCACATCTATTACTAAACAAAAAGCTATGTTGACCTAAATAGAAATTAGGATTTCCTTCCAAGTCCTGCACTTCCAGCACACATTGCAGAGGCCAGAGCCACAAAGAGAAAATGAATGGGTCATTTTCATCATGTTCCATTTTCCCTAATTTCCAGGGCCAGAAAGGCAAAGAGAAACACAAACATAAAACATAAAGTGGGAATGGGACCAACTTCCTGGGAGAGAGCTCTCTGTCCCCATGGAGGTGACAATCTATGGATCCCAGGTGCAGGTGGCGTAGGCACATCTTTCCCTCCTCCACATCCCTCCATCACTCCATCACCAGTGCTAGCACAGATGGCTTTGTAGACAATGCCTCATCCCTTCCTTTCCTCACCACCAGCCCCAACTCAGAGCCAATGTGTGTGAGGAAGAAAGAATGAGCGGAGAAAAGCTCTTGGCCAATGACCTTTCCAGAACGTCAGTTATCTCAGCACTCAGGGCAGTGATCTTGCTACTGGCTTTTAGAATCACAGATTTCATTTTTAGATCTGAGAACATCTAACACCTCCACAGCTCAGATCTATGTAAGGAAGCCTGCTCTCAGCTATGAGGAAAAATATAAAATGCCGAATCTGTGGCTGGCCCCTTGGTTCAAACTGAACCCTTTAGAAGAGAAAAATGCAAGCAGTATGAAAAGTATGACAACTATAAAATCAAAAATTCCTTTTAATCTCATTTCATGGGCAACACTGATACACTGTAAGGAATGAAATTTTTGCTTCATGTCAATTTTGCTGGGATTTCACATGCAGATTAATTCGTTCATTCACATAAACATATACTGCTCTTATTCTTGCCTCAATAGCCACCCTCACTTTGGTTACAGAAATCCTGTGTCTCAGAAAAGACCCTTAACATAACAGTGAGATTCGCTATTCCATTATATCACCACCTTTGAAGTGCTGAACATATTATTAATTCCAGTGGTCTAGAAAGGGAATAAGTGGGTCAGAATAGAGAAGTGAACTGCTTAGGAACTTGGTCGGGTGCTCTGGTGGGCAGCTTTCAAAGAGTTCCCAGTGCCTACCTCCTTTAACCTCTAACACTAACCCTGATGAGCATCTTCTCTTGAATGACCCCATGAGATGACCTTGTCATCCACCCTCTGCTTCCCACACCTCAGCCAAGCCTGCTGACCCTCCTGAGTTCCCCAGCTCACTATGCACTATGTGCCAAAACCAAGAGATATTCTCTAATCCTGCCTCTTTCTGCCCCAGACCCAATGTGATTAAATGTAGTCTTGTGCATTTGTCTTCTTTATCTCTCCATCTGGCTGTTTCTCTCCACTTCCATTCTGTCTTTTCTAGATTACTGCAGCAACTTCCTCTCTGGCTGTATCCCTTTTCAATCTACCCTGCATGCTGCAGCTAGAATGATCTTTCCAGAACTGCGTCTTTAACCTCTTTCAATGCTGCTCAACTGCTCACAAAATCAAACTGAGACTCTTAATCATGGCTCACCATCCTTAGTGGCCTGGCACCACTTCTGACTCCTGCCCTCTGCACTCTCAAAGTTCTAGCCACATTCTGCTTCACCTGCTCTTTGTCCCCTCTGGAACTTTGCAAGTGCTGTCTCTCTCCCATATATCTGAAATGCACTCTCCTCGCTTCCAACGCCAGGCTATTTTTTCCTCTTCTAATCTTGGCTTGGAAGTTACTTCCCCTGGGAAGCATTTCAGTCTCCCAAGGCTTTTCCAACGTGCCTCTTTAGGACCCTGTGTTCACCCCATTGCTGTAATTTATTACCAAGCACTGTGAAATTACTTTTCTGTCTCCTCTACCGACTGTTGCTGCAGTGAAGGCAAGGACTTATTTGTAGTTGTAACCTCAATACCCAGGATGATGACTAAACATACTAGACATACGATAAATGTCTGAAGAATGAGTGGAGGGATAAGTGAAGGTGGGAGGCAGGTGAGGCTTACTTGGGGTCAAAGCTGGAGAGGAAAATGTCCTTTGCCAAGCTATGGGTGACACCCTCACAGGGAGCTCCAGAGCAGTAAAAGCTGAGCAAAGGCCAAGGTCAGTGATACAGCAAAGAGAGACCAAAGAAATTGCCCAAACTGAAGAAGAATCTGGAAGCTGAAGTATGGAGCCATGAGTTGGGGAGGGGGCTGGCGATAAGAAGCCTTGGGCTAAGGGTGTCCTGGGGAATATCAGGTGGCATCTGGTGTCCGTGGAGAGGTCTTAAGTTTTGTCTGTTATGCTGGAAATACTCAACTGTGTTTAAAAGGCTGGGATGTTCTTGTTTACCAAAGTTCCAAGAATGATGAAAAATGTCGATGATGAAGCAAGAGGGGAAAGACTGAAGCCTTCGACAGACTGAGGCCCAGACACCCTCTTCTCCTAGACATGCATTATGCAGTAGGGCAGCCATGAGCCACATGCAGTTACTGAGCACTGTAAATGTGTCTGCTCTGAATGGAGATATGCTGTAAATGTAAAATATGCCCAAGATGTCAAGCACTTAGTATGAAACAAAGGTGAACTATTTTACTTATCTTTTTTAAAATTGATCACATGTCAAAATGTTAGTATCTGGATACATTGGAGTAAATCAAATCTATTACTAAAATTAATTTCACTTCTTTTACCTTTTTTAATGTGACTACTGGAAAATTTTAAATAATATGCAGCTCACATCTATTTCTATTGGAAATCATTGTCCTAAGTTGTCCCTGAACTTTAATTGGTATATAATACAAATTAAAATTTCAATGTTACTGCTGGATAATGGTTTCTAGGTCTTGGTTTTCTGGTATGAGTAAAATAAAATAAAAACATTATAGAGACAGTAATTAAGTTCGTGACATTTTACTTTGTGAGAAAGTATGTATTTTTAAAATCCCATCATTTACCATCATCATCATTTCAAAAAGAAAGAGTATTTAAACACCAGAAAAGGCCACAATCTCAGAATAATTAACAACTCTTTAAATTGTAAAATTTAGCTTGAAATTGTAAAATTTAGAAAATCTCCCTCCTGTCTCCTCTCTTCCCCAATTCCATGGATCATACCTGCATTCATTTACCAACTGGCATCTGAAAGAACTGTTCAAGGGTTTGTTCCACTGAATTATGACAAGCCTTTGACTACTCTCAGCAAAAAACATAATTACTGAACACAGAAGGCCAGACATCTCCCACTCTTTGTTCTGGAACCAGCAGATCCATCTCAGCTCTCAGTGCTGCTCAGGATAGCAAGTTGACAGGGTTTTTCAATCTCTGGCCCCAATCTACCTCCTCAGGCAGTTCTGCTGCCTGTACTGACTCGTGCAATCTGGGCTCAGAAGGACCACATGACTTAAAGAACGTAGACTCCTCTGGCTGCATTTAAAGACCTCCTAGAAATGGCCATTACTCCAATGCACCAGGATCCTTCTGTTTTTCTAAACAACTAATCTTGATCTTTTACATTGCCTAGCCCCTTCCAAGTGAGTGGAACACTGAGGTTTGGTGGAAACCCTGGGGGAAGTGGCAGCTTCTGCTCTTCAGGAAGATCAGCAGATCTATGGAGGCTGCAAAGAGGTTTCTCTAGGGACACTGGCAGGACCTGTGTTAGCCGGTACCAAGCACCACCCAGACGGCAGCTGTGTGTGCATGTGCGTGTGCGTGTGTGTATGTGTGTGTGTGTGTGTGTGCAAAAAAGAATCTTCTCAAAAGGCAAATGCAGAGCCTAGCTGGGACAGAAAGTGTGGAGTTGGGCCAAGACTTATTTTTGAAATGTTTCCTAAAAAAGATACCTTGGTGTCTGGGACCAGAGCTCCTTCATGTCTTATTTTAGCCCTGCTCAAATCACATCATACAACAGTAATAATAGATGACACAATTGAATCCTCACTCTGTCTCAGGTATTCTTCCCAGAGCTTTCAGCCTGCACAGTAACTCCCCGAGGTGGGTGCTGCAATTCCTCTTCTCATGGTGGTGGAGAGGGAAAGTCACAATGAGTGAGTGGTGGGGCCTCAACATAAACCCAGATGGTCTGGTTCCCCCCTACCAGTCGGTGCCCTCACGAGCTCCACGAGAATGCCCTTTGAAGATTATCCACACTCACTGCCTCTGAAACCTTTATTCCATATTGGCTTTTCTGTCTTTTTTTTTTTTTTTGAGACAGGGTCTCACTCTGTCACCCAGGCTGGAGTGTAGTGGCACCATCTTGGCTCACTGCAACCTCTGCCTCCGGCGTTCAAGCAATTCTCATGCCTCAGCCTCCAGAGTAGTTGGGACTACAGGCATGCGCCAGTATGCCCAGCCAATTTTTTGTATTTTTAGTAGAGACAGGGTTTCACCATGTTGGCCAGGCTGGTCTCGAACTCCTGACCTCAGGTGATCCGCCCACCAGGTCCTCCCAAAGTGCTGGGGTTACAGGCGTGAGCCACCATACCCAGCCCTTCTCTCTGTCTTTTATCTTGAACGCTGCATGCTGGAAGATTCTGGAAAGATGGAAAATCATGGGTGTGGGTCATCCCTCACTTGCTAAAGCATAGTATCTCCCCTTGATACTCCTAGAGCTATTTCATGATATTTTTCAGACTTTCCACCTAAAGGATCAGAGAAGCATCATTCCCTCCTTTCACCTGAAAGGGGAAAGTTCCTCCAATTGCAACAGCTATAAGGAGCAAAAGTAAGGCCTGCAGCCAAGGAACTCCAGGAATGTGCTAGACTCAGCACCCTGAGCTCAGGAATGGTCTGTTTGAGGGTCAAGGGTCCTATGCCTCTTCCCCAGGGGACTCACATCCGTGCGCCATTCTGGTCTGAAGCAGGGAGGGAAAAAGCAAAGGCTTCCCATACCTTCCTGCACCTTCGTACAGTCAATCCACCCCTGAGCCAATACTGCACTCAAATCTGCCTCTTTTTTATATCACCAAGCCTGATCTACACCCCTGGTTTGCCCTCCTGCAACAGCTTCCTAACTATTCTTCCCGCCTGCAGAAGAGTCACTTCCAACCACTCCTCCCACCCTCTCCACAGCCGTTCTCTCTTCCATCTTCCTAACACACTGCTCTCACTGTAGGACCCTCTCCCGACCTTCAGAGCCACCTGCAGTTAAACCTTCACCAGCATCTCAAGGCCTCCACCCTCGTGTTAGCTCTTCAGCACCCTGCCCCCACATTCCCTTGCAGGAGCCTTCTGGCCCTGCTAAACCAGCCCAGTCACTGCCCTTGACTGTACCTGTGTCACAACCTCCACAAACCTCCCTAGATTCTGTTACCTTCCCTCCTCCAGCTGCCCAAACTGTCACTGTTGTGCAGTTTCGCTGAAATCACTTCCTCCACCACACTCCACATGGCCGCCTGGTATGACTATTCCCCTTTCTAAATCACTGTGCCATCTTCCTAGGTAACTACTGCCTTCTTGCAGGCAGGGGCCACGTTTCTACTTCTTTAAATTCCTGTGGACAAGTTATTCAAGCTACCGGAGTCAATTTCTTCATCTCTAAAACAAGGGTCATAGCAAAGTTGTGAGGCTGAACCGAGAGAACATATATATGGTGCCTCCCACACATCAGGGGGATGGTATGATCAATACGTGTTTGCCAATTGTGGCGCTGGATTTATGCGTGAACGTGGATAATTCTCTGTTGAGCGAGGATGGTTTTAAATTTCCTGTGATTTGATTTTCTCCCTCTGTTCTGAGGATTCACTCGCTCACCGGCACCTGCACTCCCAATCCCTGATATTTTCAGTAGCTTGAGAAGGAATCACGAGGTGCGCTTTGGGCCCCTATTCACTCAGCTGATACTGATGGACAGTGTGAGTGCCAGGCACCGTGCTAGGCTCAGGAGATGCAAAGATAAGTCAGCATTCCTGTGCTAGCTGCTCAGGGGCTTGGAAGGGTGATAGACAGTAAGCTGATGTCTGCAATGCACAGCAAGGGGTGCTGCTCAGGGTAAGCATAGAGGATGGAGGGGCTGCCAAATTGTCTGAGGGGCAAGCGGTCTTCCTGAAGAAGACACCCTCCACCCAGACTCCCAAAACACAAAAGGGCATCCTGAATAGAGAAAGCAGCAATGATGAGGCCTGAATCCTCACAGCACAGTCGGCACAGGCCATGGCCTGATGGGGGCGGCCTTGACTTCAGGGTTGGGGTGGTGACAGGAGCTGTGTGCCCACAGCATGTGAAGAGTTTCAGGTGAGGAGTGATCCTTCTGCATTTAGAAAGCCAGAGTCAATGAGGAGGGCAGCTAGGGCCTGCCGCAGTCACCCAGACGAGAGGGGGCAGCGGCTGAGTTTGGCAGCAAGATATCTCAGGGAGCAAGAGATATCTCAGAGGAGACAACAAAATGGGAGTGGGGGGAGAGCAGGATGATGCCACAGATCAGGGCTTGGGTGAAAGTCTGAAGGGTGGTGGCACCCGGCCTGAGATGAAGCAGACGGGAGCAAAGAGGGTGTTTGCTACCTTGAGAGGCAGGGCAGGAAGGTGTGGGACAAGGAGTACATGATGCCACCTTATGAGGAATCAAGGAGGAGAGACAGGGAGGAGCAGGGAAGCAGAAGAGACTCAACCACCACGCCAGCTCTGGCCAGGCCACGGTTATCATGAGAGTCAGGAGGGGAGAGCAGTTTGGATAATACAATAAAGTTTCCATGGAGATCAGGGATTCCTCTTGTTGCCTCAGGGACAGCAAAGATAAGCTCAAGGACATTTACTGATCTTGCCCCTCACTAGGCCAGTGGGACCCTCACTGCTCAGTGATCCACAGAGTCCCCAGCGGATTCCTGCTTCCATCACATCCCATTGTGCCTGCTTACTTTGCCAGTCACCTGGGGCCTCACGTGGCCCTCAGCACTCCATCCTGTGTCTGCCACCCTCGGCTCAGAGGTCTCCCTCCCACAGCAGCCCCCACCCAGCTGTCATCTCCTCTCCCGCTCTTTTCATCTCTTGTCAAACACATTTTGTAGTTGCTGGCCCCCGGCTCTAAATCACTCCCTCTGCTGGCCTTGGCTTCCATCCCCAGTATCTTTCAAGCACAAATTTCACCAGATGTGGCACTGCAGTCGCCTCCTCGCTCATTTTGCTTTCCAGTTTTTAAAGTAAGTCTGACATTCAGGCAAATGGAATGTTCAGAGCCAGGAGCCAAGGCCGAGGCCCAGAGCTCTCTAAGGACTTCCCTGCTCACATGCCCTGCACCCAGCCCACCTTGTTCTCAGCTCCACTGTGACTCACATGAGCCGCAGCACCCTGACTCAGAGCTGGAGAGCAGGGTGCAGAGCCTGGACCTCTCTACATTCATCCATGTCACCCGTTTCTCCACCCCTGGCCCTGTTACCTGTCTGCCCTGCCTTCCAGACCTGCTTTGGCCCACAGCTGCGGAGCAGCAGGAAAGATGATGAAACCAGAACTGTTGCTGGTCCTGATGCCCCCTCTTGCCTGGGTGACTGCAGCAGGCCCCAGCTGCCCTCCTGATGCCAGTACTAACTTGACTACTCAGGGCCACAGCTAGCAAACAGTCACCAAGTGCTTACTAGAGGTTAAAGATGAGGCTCGGCATTTGACATCAATTATTTCACCTCACCCTGAGGACCATTATTATTCCCATTTTACAGATGAAGAAATGGGGTCTCTGGGAGTTTGAGTAACTCACCCATGGTCCAGCTAGTAAGTGACAGAGATGTTGTATGTCAAAGCTCACAGGGCTAGGAGACCTAGCCCAGCCACTCAGTCAACCAGTTACGTTGCCTGGGTCTCAGCTTCCTTCTCTGTGAAATGGCAATGACCTCTTCACCCAAAGGGCTACTGAGGACATGAGAAAGAGCTGGGAAAGCACTTCGTGAAGTCCTATAGAAATACAAGGCATGGGCCGAGCGCGGTGGCTCACGCCTGTAATCCCAGCACTTTGGGAGGCCAAGGCAGGTGGATCACCTGAGGTCAGGAGTTCAAGACCAGCCTGGCCAACATGGCAAAACCCCGTCTCTACTAAGATTAGCTGGGCTTGGTGACAGGCATCTAAAATCCAAGCTACTCAGGAGGCTGAGGCAGGAGAACCGCTTGAACCTGGGGGCACCGTGGTTCGAGATTAGGCCACTTCACTCCAGCCTGGGCTAAAGAAATACAAGGCATGAAGAGTCTTACTCTAAGGGCTTACTGCATGGTTCATCCTCTCCTGTAGGAATTATCCCAGGACCTTCGTCCCAGCACAGAGCCTCCTTGAAATTTCCTCAAGCCAATCCTACCAGCCCTATTTCTTCCTGGCAGTAGAGGCACATGTGTTATATCATAAGAGCCAGTGGTTCTTTGAAGCACTTGGGGGCAAATGGTAATGGAACTTGACAGTGATCCAGGTTTTAAAGGGAAGACATCTGTGTGTTTCAGCTCCTTATTCTAGACTGAAAAATGTGGGCAGGTCACCAATGTTTGCAGTCAAACTGCCTTCTACGTGATGTGCCAACTCCAGGAGCAAGCATCTCTGCTGCTGCTGTGTTTAATAGGTCCGGGGCTTTCAGATAAGTGAGAAGACATGTCAAATCAGCCTACATGTGCACCTCAGGCTAGGAGAGGTCTGGTGACCTGCACTGCGTGGAGGGCATGAGAGGGTGGAGAAGGCCTGCATGAAGAAATGGACAAGGTGGCAATAAAAAGGGCTCTGATGCTCTGCAGGGCCCTGGAGTCCTGTTAGGAAGGGAAGTCTGCGAGGGGAAAGAGTAATCCAGGGCAGGGGGAGGGGCACCACTGCCGAGCAGGAGGGCTTCATGTTTCTGGAAATAGCGTCCAACTTACTTAGTACCTAAGCCAGTTTCCGCATGCTTTTACCGGCAGAAGTATTTTCAAACCAGCAGACAGAGCTGGAACTGACCTTAATAAGCATCTCTGGCTTACTTCTCTCATGTTACGTGGGAGGAAACAGACACCCAGGGAGCTGAAGGCATTGTTGGGCAGTATCTTAGAAAGGGCATGCACTTTCGCAGGCTCAGGCCAGTTATTTCTTCCCCTTACTTTATCATGCTGCCTCACAATGTTGGACAAAATGGCAAAAAATATCCAGAAGAAAGGCAGGTTACTGAGGGGGGAACTGACAGCCAGGCCCTCTGTGCCTGGTTCTTGGGCAAAAGGCATAGACAGATGCAGAGAGAAGGGGCAAAACGCTTGCTCGGGTATGCAAACGGTCAAGAAACTTAGGAAAATGTGTGCCACTTCATTGCAGCAGGGAGAGGCAAATTTAAACCACAATAAGACACCACCACTCAGCCTCCTGGTAGGCAAAAATGAAACAGACAGACAATAGCAAGTGATTGATAATGAGGACTTGGTGCAACAGGGACTCTGCTGTAAGTACTTCATTAAATATTTGATGATATCTACAGAAGCTTCTAGGGGTACACCCTACAGAAACACATATGCCTGTTCACCAAAAGACAAGTAGAAGCTTAATCATAGCAGCTCTCGTCATAAAAGCCAAGCTGGAAAAACCCCAAATGAGCACTGATAGTCGAGTAGATATAGAAATTGTAATATATTCTTATAAAGGAATACTACACAGCAATGAGAATAAACAAACTGTGTCTTGCAAAATGTGGCTGAGTTTCATGCACAGAACTTTGAGGGAAGCCAGATACACATGAGTACATACTGTGTAATCCCATTTATATAAAGTTCAAAACCAAGCAACATCAATCTACAGCTTTTGAAGACAAGGTAGCCACGGAGAATTCTGATGGGGCACGGGCATAAGGGTGGCTTCTGGCAAACACAGAATATTCTTTAACTTGATGTAGGTACTTGATGCAGGAACATAGGTGTGTTCTCTTTGGAAAAATTCTTCAAGATATACCTGCAGGAGGTGTGTACTTTTCCATATGTATCTTATATTTCAATAAAAGATTTCCTTGAGAAAAGATGAAGAGAGTTTCTGGTGTTGCGGCAGATTTTGGTTGTGCAAGAAGATTTCAAAAGCCACTGAACTGGGACATGGAAAGCTCATGAAATAGACAAAAGCTGCAGCCAAACTCAACAGTATTGTCTTCTCCACCCCTCCTGTGTTCCCCATAACACTGAGGAGAGCACCCCCGGAATGCAGAGTGCAAATCCAGGGAATCTTCTTCACCCCTCTTCCTCTGTCCTTTAAAGACAGATAATTCAGAGGCGAGAGAACTGATACCACACTGCCCTTGGTGTTACTGAAACCCTGAGTTCACGGGCCAGGGCTTATTTTCAAGGCTAGCTTAAGGGACCATGCCTCCTGTGGAAAGTGATCTGTAAGGTGGGGAGGTACTAGGGGCCTGGGGAGGGTAGTAAGGTAGCTCCCACTTGTCCACCTGAGGGATTTATTCACTGGGGGCATTCAAGTTCCATGAGGGCACACTTTCAGTCTGTTTTTTTTGTTGTTGTTGTTGTTTTTACTGATCTATACTTAATAGTCTTAGACTCAATAATTTGTTGAATGAATTATTCCTGGCAAATATTTAATCCAAATCAGTTTTCCATCCTGGGCATTGAAAATGTCTCTACATCTCTTTCCACATCTCTTTCCCCTGCCTCATTCCCCAGGTAATGTGAAATGTAGGAGGCAAACTTAGGGAGGGAGAAGGGAAATCTGTCCCCAGAACAAAGACCACTTGGTACCTTTCGAAGCCACACAAGGTTCTTCTTGGGTTACCTGCCCACAGGCATTTGGCCCAGATGGCAGAACACCAGATGACACTATTTATTGAATTATATGGCTGAAATGTAGTATTTTAGTACCTCTGGGCAAAGCTAAAATATAATAATCAAACCATCTTAATTAGGAAACCCAGAATCCTCATCTATCACCTCTTCTCTTTCCCCAAATCACAAGTCAAACACACACACACACACACACACACACACACGTATGCACACACACACACACTTTCTCTAACTCAGTGAACTTTAGACATAATAAGAAGTTTTATGTTTGTGACAGAATAAAATAAAATATATGGACCCACAATCTGAAAAATTGATTTTGCATTTCAGCCAAGCATGGACTAGCTGTGTGACCCTGGACAAGTCCCCTAACCTCTCTGAGCCCGGGTCCCCTGACCTAGGTGTGGAGTTAATCTGCTAGTCTTGCTGTTCTGCTCAAGTCTGTGCAGCCCACACTGGTGCTCAGTCTGGAAACCCAGCAGTGAGTCTGGGGATGAAGGACAGAGTCCTTTTCCAGGCCCTATCAGCTCCTTCTCCCCTAAGACTAGCTCCTGCTTCTCACTGTTCCTGCCTCACTTCAGAACGAACTCCCCAGTGGAAGATCCAATGTCCCCACCCTGAGGATGAAAATGCTTTCAGGCCAAGTTCTCATATCAGGCTCTAGCTCCCGGGCCAGCAGCCTGTTCAGCCTGCACTTTGTTTGGGACAGTTGTCCAGCCTTGGGGCAGGGGCACCACTCCTGCCTGGTACTCTTTTCTCTGTCACACTTTGGCTTTCTTCCTACTGGCCATGGTGCTGGCCAGGAATGTGTTATTTAGGGCATGTCCCAGTGTTGCTGTGACAATGAGGCAGTGACAGTGTGAACATGGAAGCATTCCAGGGTTTACTGAATAAACTCTAATCTCCTTATCCTGAATTCAAGACTTTGCCACAACATGTCCCCAAGTTATCTTCCAGAGTATTCTCCTCCATTCCTCCCCTCCATCATTCTACACCCTAAGTAAATTGGGCTTACTCCTATAAAACACTGGCTCTTCTATCTCCTGATATTTCCTTATGCTCTTCCCTCAACTTGAAATGCCTACTACCTGGTAAAATCCTACGTGCCCCACTCGCCAGCACACTAACTGCAGCCCACGCCATCTCCTTCAAGAAGCCTCTGCCTCCCAGCCACGTGTAAATTCCTTCTCCTTCACAGGCCAGCCTAATGCTATTTTGTCTTTTTCACAGGACAGCTCCTAACTCCTGTGCTGTGCTGCATGGCTAAGATGGAAATAACTACACCCAAACCAGGGACAGGGCAGGAGCTGGGTGCCTGAACACTGAGGGCAGGAAATTCGTGTATTAATTCCAAGAGCAAGGGTATGGCCTTAGCGCAATCCACATTTGAGCATCAGGAATTGGTCTCATGTCCATTTCTCCCACTAGGCCATGAGCTCCTAGGGCCCACTAGGCCATGAGTGGAGACTAGTTCCTAACACAGGACTTGGCATATGGCAATTGCTCAATAAATGTGTGGAGTAAAGGAATGAGCAAATGAGTGAGTGAATGAATGAATGAATGAATGAAATGTACAATGCAAGGTCAACGTTAGCAGGAATTCACTAGGAAACAAGGTGCAAGAAAATAAATTAGCTAAGGCAGTTTAGATGAATTCTCATCAGTGTTGTTGACTGGTCCCCTTTTGAAGTCTGAGGAGTTACCCCTTCGGGAAATCTCCCTGAAACTCAAAAAAACAGGCACTCAAAGAACACAGGAGGGGCCTGCAGGCTCAGGATTCAAGGAAATCAGGAGATCAAGACTGGGGAGGAATCCTGACCCAGAGGCCCTTGCTAACTCCTGTGCTTTGCTACGTGGCCAAGACAAAAATAACTACACAGAAAACAGACAGGGCAGGAGCCCCTGTGGCCGTTCCTCCCCTCTTACCCTGGCAAGATGGTACTGCAAACTGCCCCGGGCTGTGGACACAGTTCTGCTACAGAGCCACTTCCAGGATGTCCTGCAACTCTTCCTGCTCTTCCCTTCCTCCCCCAGAGGAGGAGATGCTCTGGAGTGAACTCAGAGATCAAACTCAGATGCTCTGGAGTGAAGGCACTTAGGCCCACTATCAACAGGCTCACATCCTGTATTGAAAAGTGGCACATGGGGGACCAGAATGTCACAGACGGGGAGAGCTTGTTTGCAAAAGCTAAGTATCTGTGATGGGCTCCCCCTCCCCTCCCCTCAGCCTTGGTGTGGAATCACTAACGCTGTGCTGAGCTAGTGGAATAGCCTTGACTCTGAGGGAATATGAACATTTTTTATGCTTTGCCATTCCAGCTGTAAAGATTTTTATCCTATTACTGCTAAGTGACGAGTACAAGGAGAGAAATGATGATGATCTTTGGCAGCCATTCCAACCGAGTAAATAGAAGGAGGGAGAAATGCTACGAGAGGCTGGGCCACTGCCCCTTCATTTCCCAGGAGGAAAAGGAGCCAAGGAAAAATGTCTTCCTGGTGGGATGTATCAAAGTGTAGAATTTTCCCTACAGGCAAGTGATGGGCGCCCCACTGTCTGAGCCATTTAGCACCGCACTGGACAAAGGCTGGGAGAATATGTGGAAGAAAACACACAGACCCAGCCAGGCCAGGCAGAGGTGACCCAATGAGGCTTCCCCGGCTAGAGTTTCCAGCCCATGGCTCACGAGCTCAGTCCACCCTGAATCTGCTCCCTGAAATCAAAGCAACCCCATAATAGGCGCTGCTAGCAAGAACATACATATGCTTTATCAAAATATTCCCTCCCTCCTGGAGGGGTGTGTCTCTATTTGTGGCTGCTTGTCTGCCAGATGTTTTATGTACCACTTGGATAATGGCAAATCCAGCTGTTGTCACCAGAATGGGGTGATGGGATGGAAGTGGGATGACTCGAAAATGAGGACTACTTGTTGAACCGGTCAATGCTTTATGTATTGAAATGTAATTGTGGCTAATAGTTCTCTATTGTATTAAAATGTAATTGTGGTTTTTTCCACTAAAGGTAATGGCAAAAAACGCAATTACTTTTGCACCAACCTAACATATGAACAGCAGAACTCCTCTGGACAATCATCTCAGACTCACCCCAGCTGGAAGTTGTCTCTTCCTTACAGTGAATTCGTTATTTAAAACACATCACCTACCTCCCACCCCCAGTACATGTAGCCCCATTTTATTCATCTTTGTGATCTCACAGGACTTAAGCAGTGACCTGGAAATGAAGTCTCTCCTCTGTGTGAGCAGAATTGTTGACCTCATGAGGGGAAGTTGGAGCTAGGATGTCCCCAGGCAAGCTCCATGTTTTGTTCGATTGAGGTGAGTGGGGGCCAGTGTATGAGTATATATCTGGAATGAAGAGACCATAAATGGAAGAATGCATTCATCTATAATTGTGTGGAGACTTGAGGAATGATGAAGCTTCGAGGTTAGCCAGTCTAACACCTTTATTTCACAGCTGACAAACGAGGCTGAGAAGAGCAGGGATGTGCTGAAAGCCACTCAGGGGTACCTTGTTCTTGCCTTGTCACCTAGCCTGAGACTAGGGATGAAAGGACAAGGTTGCAGCAGAGACATGCATGTCTACAGGCTGACGACAGAGGTTTCCATCTCAACAGTGAAGATCACATCAAATGCATGTAAGGGGTGAGGTGGGCATGGGAAGGTTGCTAAGCCCAAGCATGAATGAGTAGGGCATGCCTGCGAAGCTGTAGAACTTACCTTTTGAGCCATACTGGATGTAGCATCACTCAGTGCCCACTGCCAAGGACCCTGGAAATCCTAAGAAAGGCTCAAAGCCTGCCCCTGTCTTAGCTTCTTCTACTCCTGCCCTCTGCCATCTCACACTCCACATAGACTGGACTGTCTCTCGTAAAATACCGTGGACTTCACAGGCGAAGAACCAAAAGAAAAATGGCTACTCGCTTCCATTCCAGATACGGAAATTAAGCCCCCAGGCCTCTCTGGGCTTCTTTTATCACATGGTGCCCTGCATGGCTTGCTTGTAAGGGGTCCACACCGCCGGTGCATCTGGGGATTCAATCAGCACAGCTGCCTGCTGGGTGAAACTTCTACAGCCTTCCTCCTCCCTCCCCCTCCTCCCCCTCCTCCCCCTCCTCCCCCACCTGCTGCCTCCCACATCATGCGGCATCTTCAGATTCCTGAGCTGCTCACCCCAACACCCGCCCTCCTGGCAGCACTTGCTCTAATGCTCAGCTAATAGTTCTCTGTTTCAGGCACTGTCCAAACGCATCCTATAAATCAGAATCCAATTACTGTGGTAAGAAAATTGGAAGCAAATTTAATAAGCTCAGACCCCTCCCACATGCGGTTTCTTCACCCTTCTTTTTTCAGTAACGAGAACTCTTTAAGGGAAAAGCATTTTTCCTTTAACTCAGAGTCTATTCTCCTGATTCCTTCTACAAGGCCCCTGAGGATCGAAGGGTGAGGAGAAGGGGCTTCCTTTAGCTCCTCTTTTCCTTGCTACACGTAAAGCAGGTGGGAGAGGGTGGTCAATTGCTTTTCCAGGGTTACCCTCCCTTTCATTTGTTCAACATTTATTGAATTCCTATCACACACAAGGAAAGCACTGTAGGAGATGCTCAACATGTTACTCACCCCAGAGGGCAACTGATATCAGTAGGACCTTAGCTGCAAGGCATGATGGGAACACAAAGGAGGCCCACCAGGGGCAAAGACTGTATCAATATGATTGGGTGTCCTCAAGGAACCAGAAGTCCAGAGTGGGCCAATGGCGATGGGGCCAGGAGTGACCCCACAGTAGGAGCTTCTCGGTAGAGGTGATGCCAATTGCTAGGAGGATGGCAGGACATGGAGCCTGTGAATGAAGAACTGGGAAAGGAGGGAGGAGCAAGAAGGAACCAGAGAGGCCAAAGTCTCCGCAGAGCCCGAGACAGAAGTCATGTCAGTGGAGAAATGGAGAGGGCTGTAGTGTGTGGGGGAGGTGGTGGCCTTATTGCAGGGCCTCTACTCTCGACTCAGACCCTCAGCCTTTTGGCTGCACCAGTCCTACCTATGAACTTCACCTGGGCCACAAAAATAAGCCACAGGTACAGGCTGATGCTCTGTGGTTTCTAAACTTGAGCCGGCATCAGAATCACCTGTAGCTCTTGCCGAGACACAATCAGTTCAGATCGCTAAACTCCACCCCCAGAGTTTCTGATCCAGTAGTTCTGGGTGAAACCTAAGAGTTTGTGTTTCTAACAAGTTCCCAAGTGAAGCTGATGCTGGTGGCCTGCTGGTTTGGGGAACCAGAATTTGAGAATAGTTGTTCTAAGTCCCTGCTATTCAAAGTGTGATCCGTGGACTAGCGGCGTTGGTATGACCTGGGAGCTTGTTAGAAATGTGGACTCACGGGCCCCATCTCAGACGTACTAAATCAGATTTTAACAAGATCCTCAGAGGGGTTCTTTGTTTGCCTATTTAAGTTTAAGAAGCGCTTACCTAGAGCAGTGGTTCTTAACCCTGGCTGGGGAGCTTAGAAAAGAGATACTTCAGCTGGTTGGAGTCTGGATATCAGCATTGAAAGAAAGCACCACAAGTGATTCTTGTAAGAAGCCTGGATTGAGAAATGCTATGACCGATGCTAAGGACCAGCACCCCACACTCATGGGGATTTGACACCACTCACTTCCACTTCTCTGGCATTGAACCTGACCTTGAAACCCACCTCTGTTCTCCTCTGCCCCCCTCACCATCCCTGACAACTTAGTGATCTTAATGCTCTTTCCTGGTACTTGGGGTATAGATGTGTGCTCCGTTTGGGGGTTTAGTTGCATCTCTTGCCTGATCATCTTGAGTTTTCTCACAGAAACCTCTCCTTCCATTCCTGGCCCTTCAGTATCAGCCTACCCACATACCCTGTAATAATAGCAACAACTAGAATTTGAAAAATATTTACTATTAGGTAGGTAAATACCTTATATATATATATATATATATAAAAATATATATATTAGTAGATATATAAAAATATATATTAGTATATATAAAAATATATATATTAGTATATATTAAAATATATATATTAGTATATATAAAAAATATATATTAGTATATATATAAATATATATATTAGTATATATATATATTATTTGATCTTTATAAAAACTGAATTAGGTAGGATCATTATTGTGATTTTTACCCCTATTTTCCAAAAGAGGAAACTGAGGTACAGAGAAGCTAGGCAACTTTAAGTTTACTCCTAGTCAGCAGCACAACCAGGACTGTAAACAGGGCAATCTGATCCCAGGATCAGTATCCTTAGCCCCTGGGCTATTACTGCCTTCCATTCAACTCTGCTTTTAAAAAGAAGGCTTGGCCTTGTCCTGTTGCTGGTGATGGGGTTGATAAAGCATATTTACATTTCATTTTTGAGAACTTAGGTAAAAAGCAGAGGTGGATTCACAGCAGAGATCTTCACTGCAATTTCGCCTCAAGGGGATGTCTATGGCAAGGTGGGGAGACATAGCTGGTTGTCACAACTTGGGGAATGTGCTACTGGCATCTAGTAGGTAGAAGCCAGGGATGCTGCTGAACAACCTACAATGCACAGGACACCCTGCAACAAAGTATTATCTACCCCCAAATTTCAGTAGTGCTGCAGAGAATCCCTGGTCCCCAGAACACAGGTCACCAGCAGCATTAGCTGTTCAGTTCTGAGGCAGACAGGGCCCAAAAGGCCCCAGGGCCCTGTCAGCCCAGACAGGCAAGCTCCAGGAATTGCATCAGGATGAAGCCGGGACACAGTGGGGAGGCTGGAATCACAGAAGGATTAAGAGACATAGCTGATGACTCCAACCTAGAGTCAGGGTTTCCCTGAGAACTAAGAGCTGGAAGTGTGAGATGAGATCCTATAGACGGAAGGGCCCAGTTGAAAGAAGAAAACAGGGCTTTGCTGGCAGTCTTTGGAGCTCTCATCACCACAAGGGTGACACCAGTATGGTGACTAAACTTGGCTTGGAGATTGCTGATCCAGTTGGTGGCCCCTCACAGTGCTAGCCTGGGGCTTTGCACATAGTAGGTGATCTATATCCCTAGATGGCTGCTGGTCCCATGTGCTTGCCCTCATTCTCAATCACCTGACCTTTCCTTTTCATGCACATTCAGAGTAAGTTCTTTAAGTGTGAAATTCTCTGAGTAACACAATCCCAGCTCCCACAGGGCAAGGCTCGTGCCCTGAGGCAGACATATGGCTGATACACTTTCCCTTTTTGTCTTCCCAAAGGGAGTCTAAATTCTGTCTAAATCCTCTCTTCCCTTCTTGCTGTAATCCCAGCAGATCACACTTTCTTAACAGACGGAACACACTGGGCTAGGTGCAAAGCCCGGAACTGGACACCGTGAGCTGGGCTCCTTGGAAACAGGCTCAGTTCTTCATCACCTACCACCACATATGCCTAGCCCTTGCAAAATGTTAGTTTCTGCCTCTAAATGGTAGAAGAAGTTAAGTGTAGAAACTAGTCCTGCTCAGGGTATCCCCAAGTACCTGCCTGCTCAGTGAATTACTTGTTGCCTTCTTTCTGCAGGTGGGAGCAGTCACAGGTGTCTCTCGGGGGGCTGTCATCCAGGTGCGCCAGCAACTTTCCTGGCTAGGAGAACTCCCTTTGTCCCTCAAGAAAGCCCTGGCCTCTGGACTCAGGACAAGGGTCCACCTGCCTAAGACCCAGCGGAGCTTCTCAGGTTCCTGTCTCCTGTCTCCTCCCTCTTCCCCTCTCTCCTATCTGCAGTTTCTGCTCGGGGAAATACAATAACCTAATATTTAAATAAAATTCTCTCAGATGCCAAGGAGTAGGACAAGTGCCCAGGAATTTAAACAGGAATAATACAAGACTCTGATTTTCAGACACTTTCAGGCCAGTAGAAGGGAGTAAGCAGGTATAGCCCACGCTCTGGGTCTTTGGCAGTAGGGGACTGCCAGGAACTGCTGCTAAGGCAGAGCCTCATGGGTCCCTCGAGGGGAGAGTTAAATTCACAGAAAGTCAGAGTTAGAAGAAGCTGTAATATCATCTAGTTCACCCCCCTTGCTATATTCATAGGGAAACCAATACTTCAGCTGCTTTTGGCAATGATGGGGATTAACAAGGACTGGTTGAGTCACTCCAAAGCATACATGCTGTTTAGAAGACAAGGTTTCCAAGTAGTGCAACCTAGTTGGGGAAATGGAGTCCGCCAGCCTTCACAGGGTACCATCTTAAGAACTGCCAGAGGAATCAGCCTCATAAGTCATGAAAATGCCTGCTCTACTGCTCATAAACCCCAGTTTCCACAATGTGAGTACCCACAGACCCAAACAAATATAAGAGGCTAAGAAGCTAACACCAGTACCACAGCTTCTCAGCATGCCAGTCTGCTATTTAAGACTGGTGCAAAGTCAATTTCCTGCAGCAGACAAGAAAGGCCCACACAGGTCTTTGGCATTTCTGGGCCCCCAGTTTGGAGGCCAGGAGCCCGGGAGTGGAGGAGCTGAGATTGAGACTGACCTGCTTACTAGGTCTTACCAGGGAGCATAAGGGCTGCTATGACTCTATAAAGGGTCGGTCGTGAGGCAGAAAGTCTTCACAAAGCCTCTGCTTGCTAGGAAACAAAACTTTCTACGTAGCTCCAGGCCTGATCTCTGCAACCCACTGAAGGCATGGCCTGACTAAAGGCTGGCAGGATGGAGCTGTGTGAATGAGCCCCTCCAAAGGCAGACAGAAGAACCAATGGCAAGCTGGCTCCTCTTCTCACATGGTGAAATGTCCAACGGCTGGCACTGGAAGGCTCTCTCCCAGTCACAGAAAACACCGCCCACCTACCTGCCCCAGGGTCCAATCATCCTGCCTTCCCCTACTTTGGAACCCAGCCTCGGGTGTGGGAATCTGCCAGGGAAAAACAGGCCTTGGCTGTAGTGTTTTTGGTGCTCTATGGGTTCGTGTCAAATGATCCCTAAGGTGAGGAGCAGGTTAAAGTGAAAGAGGCCACCCCTGCCCCCAGCCTCCTGGTGGGACCTGCGGGGTTTGGGATTGCTCTCAGCAGTAAGCAGTAGGCAACACAGCCAGGGTCAATCACCAAATCCGAATCCCTTTAGTGTTCAACTGGCAGCAGATGGTCCAGCCCGGTTCTTAGCACTGGTGCTGCATACAGCAGGCCCCAGATCAAGCCTGCTGTTGATCTCTTTTGACTGCGGGGGTAACAGAGTGGGAGAAGGAGGAAGTACCTCAGATGGCGAGTGTCCGGGATGGCCCGATTGCTGGAGATCCGCTCACTCTCCCGCTGGTTGAAAGCATACAGCTTATAGGGGTCGTCACCAACGCGCCACTTTTTGGCATTCAGATACCGCCGCTCATCAAACTGGTCCCACAGGTCGTCCCAGTCAGCGTCCGAAGGCTGCGTGACACGAATGGGAAGTCTGTGAGAACGGCTCCCTGTCCTCCACTAGCCCCCGTCTGCCTATCAGTACCCAACCCCAGAGACCAGGCTTATTCTGGCAAGGTTTGGCTCAAAGATGGGGTCAGAAGCAGAACATAAACTAAACCATCAGCAACAATAAAAACAGAACTATGACAACGATGGCTGCCACCATTTTCTGAGCACTTCTATATACTGGGTGCTGTTCTAGGATCTTGACTCACATTACTTCATGTAGTTCTCAGAGCAATTCTATGAGAGGGATGCTGTGCATACCCTTATTATACAGATGAGATAACAGCCTGGAGAGGTAAGTACCTTGCCCAAGATCCCACAGTTAGGAAATGGCAGAACTGGAACTTCAATTCTAGTATCCCAACCCCAGAGGCCATCTCTCCAGGGCAATCTGAGAATACCTGGTATGAAAGTGCTTGCCCCATGGCTGGCACAGAGTTTCATGAATGACTGTCATTCCTCCTCTGCTGTAGAAGGGCCAGCGATGGGAAGGAAGGAGGAGTTCCGTCTACAGTGGTGTGCTACTCACCACCACCCTATCTGTTCCTTTCTTCCTCCTACCCAGGAATCTGGTATTTTTAAGAAGCATCAATGGGGGAGTGAGTAACAACCCTCACCGTACATGGATAGAGCACTTCAGAATTGTAAGGTGGCTTCTGTATTCATGATCTCATTTCATCTTCACCCAAACCTTCTGAACTGAGTAGGGAAGATGAAGTTCCAAAAGGTTGACTGGCTTGTCTGAGGTCACACAGGTGGGAAGGGGCAGAGCTCAAAGCAGAGCTCAGTCTCTGTGGCCCCTCCAGCAGAGGAGGCAAGGGAATGCCTCCTAGCCACAGCCCAGGCTGCCTAGTGTGGGTCTGCCCTGCCCACACCGGTTCCACAGCCAACAGACTGTCCACATAGCTAGCAGGAGGTGTGGACTTCAAGGCCTTGAGAAGCTGGACACTTAAATTTGGTGGTCACTTCCCAATGCATGTTAGCACTCTCACCCCTGGGGAGGAGCTGGTCTGTATCTAAAACAGCTCAGAACTTTCAAGTTCATAAAACATAAGACTCTGTGTTTCCAGGAAGAAAGTGCTGATCAGGTTCT
The DNA here is from genome assembly GCF_000001405.40 of Homo sapiens. Lineage (NCBI taxonomy): Eukaryota > Metazoa > Chordata > Mammalia > Primates > Hominidae > Homo > Homo sapiens. The sequence goes on from NC_000002.12 coordinate 30,994,137, forward strand.
GATTGGAACATGAGGGTTGTTGGTATGCTGGGGCTGACATTGTCCCTGAGGGTGGGATGCTCATTCATGTGTTACTGAACCCAGTGGCCGTGCAAGTGTCTCAAGCTGCATGGGTACTAACTAAGGGCACTGAGCTGAGAGCTGCCCATCCCATTACTGAGTAGAATGCACCTCCTGCACTCGGGAAACCTGACCAGGGTGGCCCAGGGCAGGCTCCACAGACAGCAGTGCAGGGGCTTGGCCCACGTGGCAGGTTAAGAGGGGCTGCTGGCCAGTGTGCATGTTCATCTGGGCACCATGGTGAGCTTATCCAGTAATTGATCTCTCTCTCTCTGTTACCTCCTTTTTAAAAACAGCATTCTCCTGCTAATAGCATAAAATGAAGCTTTGGAGACCAGAGATTTTTATCCAATAATTGATTTTATTAATGTCCTGTGATACTGCGGCTACAGAACATTCTAGAGGAAATCGGTGGGGGTGAGAAACCCCCAGCCTGTGTTTTGCAATGTCACAGCCTGATAGCTGTGACCTCTGCTTGGAACATCACCCCACGGTAACCTTGAAATCCCATCCTCATGGGAAGGGCCATAGAACTGTCTCCCACTGGCTTGTTTCCAATTTAATTCATCACAATTTTCTAAATAAGTTGTGAGCCCTTATGGTGCTCCGAGCTAGAGAAGAGCGATGTGGAGCTGGAAGGCCCCTGCTCTCGAGGGGATTGCAACATTGCAGAGAGACATGCATGGAGATGCCTGTAACACACCGCAAAGTGAGTTCAATTACATGAGCACGATGACAAGGCTATGAGAGCAGAGGAGTGAGGGGAACTGGGGACAGCTTCTTGAGTAAGGTGTCAAATGAGTTCGATCTTGAAGGATGAGTAGGGATCTTACTTTGCTTAAGGGAGGATAGAGAGGGAAAATAAGTATGTAGCAAAAAGCCAGATAAAAGGCAGTATATTAGTCAGGGTCCTCTAGACAAGCAGAACCAATGTTGTGTGTGTGTGTGTGTGTGTGTGTGTGTGTGTGTGTGTGTGTGTGTTCATGTGCATATGTATACAGCCACATATGCATAACAACATTTCAGTCAATGACAGACTGCATATACGACAGTGGTCCCATATGATTATAATACTGTATGTTCGCTGTACCTTTTCTGTTTTGATATGTTTAGATACACACATACTTACCATTGTGTTACAAATGTCTACAGTATTCGGTGTAGGAACAGCTGTACAAATTTGTATTATAGCCTAGGAGCAACAGGCTATACCTTACAGCCTATGTGTGTGGTAGGCTCTACCATCTAGGTTTGTGTAAGTATATCCTATGACATTCACACACAAGGATGAAATTGCTTAATGTTTCTTTTTTTAGAGATGGGGTCTCACTCTGTCACCCAGGCTGGAGTACAGTGGCTCAACCATAGCTTATTGCAGCCTCAAACACCTGGGCTCCAGCGATCCTCCTATCTCAGCTCCCAAGTAGCTGGGATCACAAGTGTGCACCACCATGCCCAGCTCATTTTTTTACGTTTTATTTTTTGTGGAGACGGGATCTCACTATGTTGCCTAGGCTGGTCTCGCACTCCTAGCTTCAGGCAATCCTTCCACCTCGGCCTCCCAAAGTGCTGGGATTACAGGGGCCACCATACCTGGGCACTGCATAGTACTATATGATCTTTTATATATATAGTTTAAGTTGACACAGAAAAATATGTATTATAAATAGGAATTGGCTTATGTGATTATGGAGGCTGACAAGTCCCAGGATCTGTGGTGCTGGAGATCCAGCAAGAGCTGATGTTTCCAGTGGAGTCTGAACGCAGGAAAAGCCATGTCGCAGCTCAAAGACATCAGCAGGAGGAATTCCCTCTTAGCCTTTTTGCTCTTTTCAGACCTTCAGTGAATTAGACGGGGCCACCAACGCTGGGGAGGGCAATCTGCTTTCTTCAGTCTACTGATTCAAATGTTCATCTCATCCAGAAACACCCTCGTAGACACACCCAGAATAACATTTGACCAAATGCCTGGGCACCCTGTGGCCCAGTCAAATTGACAAATAAAATGAACCATCACAGGCAGGAAGGCCCAGAGAAAAAAAATCTGTTCAGGGAATGGCTAACTGAGGAATAGCAAGGCCGGAATGTGGATTGCAAAGAGGACATGAGTGAAAGAAAACTCCAGAATGTAGTTGAGTCTGCCTGAAGCAGGTCATGGAGAAAACGTCTCTGGCCACACGTGGAGGACAAGGAGACCAGCTGGGAAGCGGCCTCAGCCATCTAGCCAGGTGGGAAGGGACGCTGGAACTGGGGCCTGCCTAGTGGGTCATTGCCTCCCTGTGCTGGAGAGGCAGGTGGAGGGGCAGGCACGCATGACGACACCAGAGAGGGTGGGCACAACTGACCTCTTGGCCTCACCCCCCCTCTACTCTCTATTCACACCAGATAGAGGCATGGGCCCAAGAGGGCCCGAGGCTGCTGGTTTCCCTACAGGGCAGCTGAACATCCCAGCATCCCTGGCTACAGTGCCTTCTGGGAGCACCATGTGCTGTGAGCTCTCCAGAATTTTGGAACTCTGGAATTCTGTCCCCCAGCAAGCCAGAGCAGCAGCCAGGCTGGCATGAGAAATTGAAAGAAGTCATGGAAGGTGTCCTCGGAGGGGCCTGTTCCCCTCAGACTGTCATATGCACAAAGCGCAGTCATAGTCTGCTGCACTGAGACCCCCTGAGGGGGAACAGCCCATACTGGGAGCTGGGCTTTTCTACATCAATATCTGAATGTATTAAATAATGGTGAAGGTGTGTTTAAAATAATACCACTACATAAAGAATAAATAAAATAAAATAATATCACTATTTCAATAGCACTTTATATTTTATAAGGCAGCTTGCACGTATATCATCATGCAATCCTCACCCAACCCCTATATGTGCAGGGCAGGACCAGTTTAGAGAGGTTAGGTGGCTGACCCAAGGTCATCGGCTGTTAAGTGATGGAACCACTGATTTAAACCTCCCAACACCAAAGACAGAAACAACAAGAAGCATCTCCTCTACTGAGGGTCGGTAGGCAGAGAAAGACCCTGGGAGTTGGCTTCCAAGCTCTTCCATTCATGAGTCCCCACATCCAGCTTCCAAGAGCCCAAAGTGCCACAGGAGGGCACAGTGTGGGGTGTTCTGGCCACACCATCACAGGACACCAGCCTCCTCCCTGACTCTGCATGGGGCCTTTGCAGTACATTGTATCTATACTGTGAATTCCATTTCCTGGCTCATACAAATATCCGGGAAAGCTTCTGAACACACATGCTCACCTTCCCACACTTCCCTGGTACAGGAAGTGATACGTCCCGGGAAAACAAGAACAAATACCCAGGAGCTCCCAAAGGGCTCCACTCAGAACTGGGCCCACTCCTGTGGGGCCTTCATCAGCACCCATGGCCCCCAAGCAAGCCCCCGCTTCACTTTCTGACTAGAATTTATTCAACCTAGAGGGAATGTGTTTCAAAAGTATGATGCCACAAACAGAAAACACAAACGTTATCCCGTTTAAAGTTTTATTTTTAATTAACAAATAATATCTGTATATATTTATGGGGTACAATGCGATGTTTTGTTACATGTAGACACTGTGGAATGATCAAATCAGGCTAATTAACATTTTCATTTCCTTAAATATTTATTTATGGTGAGAACATTTAAAAGTCTCTGTTCTGGCTATTTTGAAATATGCAATATATTTTTATTACTAACTATAGTTATTCCTCCTGTCTAACTGACTTTGTACTCTTTGACCAACATCTCCCCCAGCCTCTGGTAACCACCATTCTACTCTCTACTTCTCTGAGTTTGACTTTTTTTAGGCTTCACATATAAACGAGATCATTATTCAGCCTTAAAGGAGCAGGAAATTAAGTGATTTGTGACAACATGGATGGATATTATGCTAAGCGAAATAAGCCAGGCACAGAAAGACTAAGACATAATCTTTTCAACAGAAACTGTCTCGTTAAGTCTGCCAAACCCCTGGCCAAGACCATTGCTTAAATAATCTGGCATCAAAAACTAAAGCTCGATGGCACATCCGTTAAGTTGCTTAATTTCTCTCCTCCCACCATGCTTCAAGGAGAAATCTTGAATCTCCTTTTCTCCTTCCTTCCCTGGGACTGTTTTTACTCCCTCTCACTTCAAGCAGATTATCTGGCTCTGAAATCCTGGTGTATCCCTCCCTTCTGTTAGGATTTAAAGCTGTTGTACATTCCCACTCATGCTTTTGTCTCTCTCCCTTCTTTCCTGAGCTTGGTACTACTAGTTCTCTCTTACTGTCCCAATTGTCTTCTTTTTCACCCTGAAAATGAGAAACTCTTTATCCCTTTGATACAGCTTCTATCCTACCATGAACTGTGTCTGATCCTGAAGAGAACGTCTCAAATTTACCCTGTAATAAATCAGCTAACACCCAGGAAGAATACTTACTATGTGTCATAACTATTTACATTTAATATTCACAATAATAGGTACCAATATTACCTTTCCATAATTGGGGGTATGTAGGCACAGAAATAACAGGTCCCAAGTCCTGTGTCTGATATCACACAGCTTGTCAATGCTGGAGCTGGGATTAGAACTCCGGCAGCCAGCTCCAGCCCCCATGTTCTTTGCCATTAGGCAGCACGGCCTTATCACAGCCTCACTGCCATTTTCTTGGACCATCTTCAAAGACTCACTATCTGTGCATTTCCTGTCATTTTCCTCAGCCAACTTCTTTCTTTGCTTCGGGCTATTCCTCCTTCAAAGGATGTCTGCACTCCCTTCACCATCAGCCCCTCTACTCTTCACTCTCCTTGCTGAGAAACCCTTCTCCTCCCAGCAGTGAGCTTATTCCTAACAGCCAGGGCCAAAAAAGGAGGTATTCTGCAGCTGGATTCCTGCAAGAAGGCGGGGATGTGCTGCCAGGTTAACGTAGAAGAAGGTCAGAGTAGAAAACAGCGATGTAAATTCTTATTTAAAGAGGATATCATGAATCTATCCATCCAACGTTGGAAGCTTCAGCATAACATGCCACTGCCCCATGGACATCCCTCCTGGGTCCAGCTAGTGACACAGAGGTCCCAAATAGCCCACTCCAACCTTAAAGAACTGCAACTTCTAGATATGTCCTTCTTATATTGATCAAGAATCTGTCTCCTGGTAATATCTCCCTTTTGGATCTGGTTATGCCCCCATGGCCATTTGGTACTAGTCTAATCTTTCTCTTTCATAGTCTTCAAATATTTAGTGGCAGCTATTATAATATTTCCCAGATCTTCCAACCCCTGGTACCATCACTGAGATTTGCACCTCCGAAAAATTAACACACAGGAGTGTGAAACAGGTAGCAAAGGGTCTAACTGTTCTAGACCAACTGAAGTCAGATGGGTTCATCAAGGAATTCAAACACAGTGGAGACCCTGCCATATGTGTGCTATGAAAAGGGAGATATCACCCAGCATAGAGGCTACCTTTTATATCAACGTCTCATGGACAGATGTTGTTCTGTGAAAATGCTGTGCCTATGGTAATGCCTGCCATTCACTGGGCACTTACTATGCACCAGGCTCTACACCATATTTTATCAGGAGGAGAACCCTCTTCTCCTCACCCACCAGATCATATTTCCATGGAAGAGTTATCTCCTAAGAAAATAAAATATGGTGTGGAGCCTGGCACAGTCAGTGCAGGAGAACACGTAAAACCCTATCCAGGGCATTGCTGTGAGTGTCGTAAACACTTCCAGTGTTTCTTTCCATCCTTTCATGCTCCTCCCCAAGAGAGGCAAAACTATTCTCACCGGTTGGAGCCACACATGTTTTGCTGGTGAGCAGGACTCCTGTGTGGTAAAGCCATGGCCTAGCCCTCTAGTCTGCACTTCCACTGTCCAGGTGGAACAGGTTGTCCTGTTCTATTTGTCCCTAGGTAGTAAGCACACACTAGGCTTACTTTCTAGAAGCAAGCCTATCTCACCCAAGCGGCTGTTTGAATATGTAGATCTGGGGTCTGTGCCACCATCTCTCCCTAAACCCTGAGTGTTCTGGTCCCTTAGTTTAGAGCTGAAGTGGGGATATAGGAAGCTCCACTTCATCCTCAGGCAATTCCACGTTGTCCAACTCAGCTTTTACCCAAAGCCTTTCCTTAGGATTAGAGGAGCTTGCTTGTCTCAGGTCATGAAATTAATAAAAGTATTATTCGTTTCCCATTTGTTTGCAGATTCTTGTATGTGTTTCTGTATTGGTCAGGGTTCTACAGAAAAATATCACCAACTGTGTGTGTGTGTGTGTGTGTGTGTGTGTGTGTGTGTGTATACACAGAAATTGAGAGGACAGATTGATTGATTGGCTGATTGATTTCTAGGAAATTGGCTCATGTGATTATGGAGGTACAAATCCAAAATCCTCAAAGTAGCCTGGAGACCCAGGGAAGAGCTGCAGTTGAAGTCCTAAGGTGGTCTGCTGGCAGAATTCCTTCTTGCTTGGGGAGGTCAGTTTTGTTCTTTTAAGACCTTCAACTGATCGGATGAGGCCTACGTACATTATGGAAGGCAGCCTGCTTTACGCAAAGTCTGCCAATGTAAATGTTAGTCTCATCCAAAAGACACCTTCACAGAAACAGCAGAATAATATTTGACCAAATATCTGGACATTGTGGTTTGGCCACATTGACATATAAAATTAACCATCACATCTCCCCTTATTAGAATCCCAGAGGGAACTAGTGAGTGAGGGGTACCTAAAGTGAATTCTAACCCCCACAAACTTAAGATATAGTAAGAAACTATATCCCCAATTTTCAAATGAGGAAAGTGAGGCACAGGGAGGATAAATGATTTGCCCAAGTTCACACAACTGATGTCTGTCTCAAAGCCTGTACTGTCTTCCCTCTTTTCAACAGACCTAGTTTTAAGTAGCTGTGGGGCCCTGGAGTTCTCGTCTCCATGTAGCCAGGCTATCTCCAGGACCACAGCCAGCTCTGGCTACCTGATACCCCTCAGAGTGCCCTTGCTTTCCACTAGCTGGAAGCTTCTGTTATCTAGCACCACGGCAAACCAGATACTCCCAGGGGACTCTTCATGCTAAACCATAACTAGATTCTACAAGGGTTCTGATGCATTTCTGGTCTTTCTAGAAGGAAAATCTTCAACATGAAAGAAGGAGTGAAGCCAGGAAAAAAATACAGGATGCGGAAACTAGAGGTAGGGTAGTTGAATGATAAGCAGAGGTAAAATGTGAGGCTGCCCTCAGGGTAAAGGTCACTGAGAAAATAAACCGTGGCTCCCAAAAGGTGGAAAAGCTAAACCTGAGTCTTCTGTAATTAAGCCCAAGAAGGGGACAAAGTGGTCCAGATCAGTTGTACCCTGGCTCCCAGAAGAAGCAAATGTAAGTCCTATGTGGAGGAAAACATCTCCAATTTAGGACCCCAGAATTCCCACAAAGCTCATCAAAAGATGAAACCACAATACAAAATTACCAGACACACAAGGAAACAAGTCACTATAAGACAAGACAAGTCTACAATGTAAGAATCAGTGGAAACTATAAACAGATTTAGATGCTCCAAGGACTCTGGATACAGGAATACTAGATATAGAATAAGGCATAACTGTAGATAAAATGTTTAAAATATGGTATAATGTAACAAAACTATACTTGTACTCCCCAAATGTATACAAATAAAAATAAGTAAAATAAAATATGGAATAAAAATTAGTAAAGAACAAAAGACAAAAAATGGCTGGGTCGATTTGAAAAAGAACCAAATCAAACTTTCAGAAATGAAATAATAATGATGGAAAGTCAATATCAAACAGGCCCAAGAAAATTGTTTATAATCTGCGAAGCATTTTCACTTGAATATCTCGTTTTTACTACCCCTATGAAGTAGCCAGGCTGGTTATACTGTTACCACTTCACAGATGAAAAAACTGAGGCTCAAAGAAACAAAGGGGCTTCTTCAAATCATATAAACAGTGAATTCAGGCCAGGCGCAGTGACTCACCCCTGTAATCCCAGCACTTTTGGGAGGCTGAGGTGGGCGGATTACTTGAGGTCGGGAGTTTGAGACCAGCCTGGCCAACATGGTGAAACCCCATCTCTACTAAAAATACAAAAATTACCCGGGCGTGGTGATGTGCGCCCGTGGTCCCAGCTACTTGGGAGGCTGAGGCACAAGAATTGCTTGAAGTGGGGAGGCGGAGGCTGAAGTGAGCCGAGTTCATGCCACTGCGCTCCAACCTGGGTGACAGAGTGAGACTCCATTTCAAAAAAAAAAAAGTGAACTCACTACTGAGATTCTAATCCAAGACTTTTCATTTCAAAACTGTGTTCCTTCCATATCACCAGATGCTCCAGTCAGCCACAAGACCACTCTTCCCCACTGTCAGCTAGTCATAAAAATACAAAAGTATCTGCTTACCCCTATACCTTTCTGTTGTCCAGCCAGTTAGGGAGTGACTATATTTTTCCAAGGGCCAGCCAAGAGAGGGAGACGGTGCAACATAATCCCCAGTGAAATGCTAACATATCACCATATGCTCCCATATCATACTGCTAATATAACTCCCACCTGCAGAGAATGGATGGTCTGGGAAGAGGATGACTGTCAGTGGCAGACATTCCCCACAGCGTGCAGAACAAGTTCCAGTGAGGAAGGAGGGGCACCCAGCCCTTCGCTTGCCTGGGCTCATGCAAAGGAAAGAGCTGGAAAATCCTTTCCCCTCACCGAGGGACCCCACATCAATTATGGATTATTAGATAAGATCTTCATTTTAATATTTCCTCCATGTATTATCACCTTCTTCCTCTCACTGGAATTCTGTCTTGGGAGTTATTTAACTGATGTGCAGAAATCTAAATTTAATTTATTATGCTCTAACTCACTTTAGAAGCCAAATTACCCTGCACTGGAGAAGGATCAAGTCAATATCCCACTTGGCTTTCTATTTATCTTCTGTGGGGGTTTCTCTCCTTCTCTTTAGTATTCATTTTTATCTCAGGTACTGGTAATAAATTTAAATTTTCCTCAGAATTAAGCAATTGCTCCTTCAATGTTGTAGTTTAATGGTTAGTATTAATTATATGAAAGGCACTCCTTAAATAGTTTGATAGATAGAATGGACATATAATAGAGGAAGAAAGGGCAATTTCTCGCACCAAATGAGGTAGCACATAATTCAGCAGGGATGAGTTTACTTTTCTGTTCTACCTCCTCCTGTCCCTTTTCCCCACTTTCCTCCTCACCCTCCTCCCTCAACAGCCAGGTGCCTAGAAAATAAGTCTGCTAAGAGTTGCTCTGCTGTGGCATCTCTGAGCCCCCGGAGGGTCTGCCAGCCAGGCCAAGCCTGGATCCCTCTTTAGTGTGGGAGTCTTTTTCCATTTGATTTCTCTCTCATTTAGTCTCTGACAACAAAAGCAACCACTGCCCATCTCTCTCCTCCCCACCACTTCGCCCATAAACACTCTCCCCACCCATGTCTCAATTGCGCTCCACATGCATTACAACTTTGGGGGAAGCTTCCAGCTTTCTGGAAGAAGAAAAGTTCCAATAATTATTATAATTGCCTAAAAATTCCAACAGTGAAACATAATATGATTAACTGAATGGACAGAAGCCCGGTTTTTGTTTCTGGAATAGAAAAAGAAACTCACATATTTGGACCTTCTATGGAGATTAATTTACTTACAAATTAGCACGAGAAGGAGGTGCCAGGGAAGTCTAAGTCAGCATGACTGGGGAAGCGGGCCTGGCTCCCAGGCACGTGCCAGGAAGCGTGAGCTCTAATGCTGATGTATCTGCTTCCTTCTTATCAACACCCTGTAAATTCCACCACCAAAGACTGAACCCAAAACTCCCTTATGTCGATGGGCATCCTGGATTGCTAGTCACTTGTCTGAAGAACACATCCCAATTGCCGGTGGACATGAGGACTGAGAGAGCTGGTCCTACCCACACGCTTTATTTCTGCATCCCCTTCTCTTTGTGTTCAGAGACCAGAGCGGCAAGCTGGTCACTGGAACAGGAGAAGAGTCTGTGTCCTCCAGCTCTGGTACCCAGGGAGCAGGTGATCTAGGAGGCAGGGAGCCAGGTATCCACAGGGGACTCAGGAAAAAAAGGATTTGGTGGACTGGGTGGAAGCACAGGAGGGTGAATTTGCCTATAACCAGGAGGCCAATACTGGAAGAGAACAGGCACTGAGAACAGGAACCAGTACCCAGGAGAGTCCAAGGGGAGGGATTGGATGTAGGTAGAGCAAAGCTGGAAGTGACTCAGAGAGGGCAGCTTCAGCTGGATGGAGCTGGATAGAGCTGGATGCTGAAACATGCTGTCTCTGGTGTGCACAGTTGAGCCATCTTGGATGCAGGGTCAACTCATCAGACAGAGGGCAGGTCTGCAAGGGTGAGGCTGCAGCCATCTCTCAGAGACAGCAATATCAGAGAAAGGAGGCCAAATCCTCCCAGGGTGGCCCCACAATGTGGCCAGAGCAGCCTCCAACAGGACAGGGAGGGGCCGAGTCAGATGCCCACCCCACTGAAAACCACTAGGAGGAAAATAACCCTAAAAATAAGATTTGGATTTATCAGGGACAGAGCAGCTCTCCCTCCAAAAGCCAGGCTTCTCTCCCCTCCTTAGCTCACTGCAAAGGACTGGAACATATCTTAAGGCACCATCAGAAAGCTCTCTAGCCATAAGAAATAGCTACAGGGAAAAGCAATTTTCAAGAGGCCCTCTGAACCAAGGTATCTAGCAGGGGTCATGAATGAGCAGACCTGGAGTCACTGAGAAATGTGAGCGAGAGTGGATGGCTTGTAGGTGCCGCACAATACCTGCCTAGTTACACTGCTTTAAACCTGCTCTTGGGCAAAACAAAACATGCCCATGGGCTGACATTGGCCTGCTGGCCACCAAATTGTGACCCCTAGGACACTAAGGGAATACAAGGAAAAGGGTAAAGAACGGAAAAGAAGGGAAGAATCAAACAATGGAAAAGTGATCATAGTAAACATTATGCATTTGTGATTTTTCTCCTTCAAGGGATCCTTTGTTGTTTTCAACCCAATTTTAGCTGGACAGAAATGCAGCCCCAAGAGCTTCTGTGTTGTGTGTGTGGGGGTGGGGAGTGGAGATGGGCTAAAAAGGGAAGCGCAGCCCCAGGGATGACTCCTCTAATTCCAGAAAGCTGGGTCCTGAGCTTGGCTCAGCTAAACATATCCTTTCTGGTCAGTTTCAGAACCTCGTGGTCAGTTTCCTCCTCCTCCCAAGGACAATACTAATCTTCACCCTCACCCAGCTTCATAGCCCGAATTAGGCTTCAGAAGTGAGATGAGACATGAAAAATTGCTTGGTAAAACATAATGCATACACAACATATTATCATTACAACATAGCTGTGGTTACTATTATTTCTTTTGGTGACTGAATGCTAATGGAGGGAAAACGCAATTTACAGTCAGTCAATTTAAGTTTAGCTGCTTCTCCCTTCCCTGTGGCAGAAATGGGGTCTCTGACAGCATCCACAGATGACCGGGTGCCTCACCTCACTGTCCGTCTGTGAGAATTGGTCATTATCAATGTGAATGCTTCCTGGGACTCAGCAGGTGTTTTCTACCCAAAGCTCCATCTCACACGAGTTTGAGCACAGTGCCATGCAAATGATAAGACAAGAAAACTATTTTAAGAAGCGTAATACATAAGGTTATTATCAGCTTAGAAGGCTAGAAATTGAGCTTTGTGCTAACTTGCTTTTTATGCACGTGGAGAGTGGGGGCTGGAGCCAGCACAGAAGCTGTGCAGGGTGATTCTGGAGAGAGACTTGGGTGAGATTAGAAGCCTGGACCTGCCTGAGACCCCATACTCCGAGGAACCTGGACTTCAGAGCTTCCTGCTTGACTTCTGGTCCCTTCTCCTCGTCTGAACTTAGTCCCGAAGGGACTTCTCCATGCCTCCCAGGACTTTGGCTCCATGGGCTGGAATGGCCGGTCCAACAGTCACACTCACGAGGAATGTGTTTAGCATGGTTTGCAGCTTCCTCAAATCTCCCTCTAGGTTCTTGCCAGGCAAAGATAACCTTGAGAGAAATAAAGATGGGAAGCTGTGGGAAGCCAGGCGAAAGAACTGGCTTTAAAAAGTGACTACTTCTCACACTAGATACAATCACCCAGAATAATGACAACGACAACTACTGCAACTAATAGTGGTGTAGCGTTTACTACACACCAGGCTCTATCCTAAGAATGTCCCTCGTTCTATACTCAGAACAAACCCAAGGCAGGTGCTTCTATTAATCCCATTTTACTGAAGAGGAAACCGAGTTTCATGGTGCTAACGTGACTTGGCCAAGGTCACACAGCAAGTCAGTGGAGGTGCTGGGATGAAACCCAGGCACGCAGATTCCATGCACAACCTTGCAAAGTCCCTGCCATGATAGGGGATCATTCATAGAGTGAGGCTTCCAAAACCAGTGCCTGTCTGGAGATAGACCTGGGAAGGATGAAGGAGGAGGCATGGCAGGAAGCACAGTTGTACATTTTCTGCCAAGGTTATTCTGGAACCCCCTTCCTTAATCCACGTGCCCAAAGGTGCTAAACTGGAATATGGCTAGGAAGACAGTTTCAGAGTCAAGTGCCCCTAAGCCCTGCCACTCAATCCCCAAAGGTGACATTAGCAAGAAGCTTCCAGCTTTCAGCTGAGCAGAATTTGTTCCCCTCTCTTCTACGCCTGCTAGGGGGAGGATAGATCTCCCCAGATAGTATGTACAGCAAGGGCCCAGAGCTTAGCACATTTTCTGTCTTCTCTGTAAATAAGGTGACATCAAGATACCCTCTAGCTCTCTCAAAACTAGGTCAGCTGCTGAATATGTAGGTGTGGGATGGGAGCGAATGACTTTGAAACGACTTTATCTCGTGGGACTCTGTGGGGGCTGCTGGCTGGCTTTTAATAGAAAGGACTCTTTTTATGTCAAAAGCAGACCCCGAGTATCCAGACGCTGTGCCTGCTGAATATGGATAGGGCAGGATGGCTGCCTCAACCAAGGGCGGGTTTAGTGCTACAGGCGACGTGGCAAGTGAACATGGCAGTGGGCTGAGAAGCTGGGAGAAATCCTACATGCCTGATCTCAACACTGGCCATCTCCAAAACGCAGCAGGAACCTCGCCCAGGGAATCTTAGATGAACTATCAGAATGGGATTTATGATGCACTTGCTTATGTAAACAAGACCTACAGGGACATTTCCCTGACCTCGGGAAGCATAAGTAATTGCTCCCCAAATGACACGCGTGTCACCAATCATTCTTGTCCATTCATCAAAGCACTGGTGGCATGATCCCTTCTGCAGGTCCATCCTGAACTGTTGGAAGGATGTAAGGTGTTAGAGTGACATTTCGAATGTCTCCCACATGAATCCAACTTCTTTACATCCACAGTGGCCTTCTTTTCGCTTTTTCAGAATTAGGTGTGCTCTTTAATCAAATCCGGTAACTGGATAGGAATCCAGATTTGCAATTCAGATGCATTGGGAACAGATTAATCATTTCACCAGAGCTGCTTTGGTTTACGTTTTACTTTATAAAAGTACTCACTGCAAGATTCCCTTAAGTTATCCGTTTCCTTAGTGCATTAAAATCAGATTCTGGAGACAAAGAAAATTGAGTATCTAAACAAATTTCCAGAGCCATATTCTGGAAATGAGATTAAAATTATCAAAACCCCTGTCACCCCTTTGCCTCTGCCTTCCTATGCCCTTGCCCTCAACTCGCAGTGGCAGGGATCCAAAGCTCTCTGGCCCACAACCTCTGAGCAGGGCATTTCCCTCCTGCAATTTTGTTATGCTGTGAGAATGGCCAAGGTCTCAAAATAACTCTCTTCTTCCCAAGAAGAGGAAGTCAAAACCAATGGGATGAACCCCAACCCTCAGATCTATTTATTCATTTATATATTGGAGACAGGGTCTTGCTTTGTCACTCAGCTGGACTTCAGTAGTGCAATCATTGCTTGCTGCAGCCACAAACTCCTGGGCTCAAACAATCCTCCCGACTCAGCCTCCTGAGTAGCTGGCTGGGACTACAGGCACACGACACCATGCCTGGCTGATTTCTTTATTTTTTATGTTTTTGTAGAGGTGAGGTCTCACTATGTTGCCCAGGTTGGTCTCAAATTCCTGGCCTCAAGCAATCCTCCCATCTTAGCTTCCCAAAGTGCTGGGATTACAGGTATGAACCACTGCACCCTGCCAACCCTCAGATTTTTCAACACCATCAGCTCTCTTCAGTTTCCAAGGACCAGATTCTCTCTGAGGTCCCTTCCTTCAGAACCTTAGATCTGCATGGGTGTGACATCCACGTCTCACTCACTAAATGGCTCCCCCCAGCCTTGCTGTCTCCAGTCCTGTCAAAGAGTCACTCTCAGCACATTAAGCATTAAGGCTTTCCAGGCAGAAAAGATGACTGTACCTTCTTCTCGCCTGCCTCCAAAATCAAGGCTGGAAGAGAGGCAGCCAGCATGAGTGGTGGGAGGATGCGGTGCATAGAGAAAGTAGGTCATTAGTGGTAAAGACTACAATTTTAAAGCGGTTGTTAATGCTCTGTTTATACGGATTTCTTCAAATGTGACATTTTAATGGCATAATAATTGTGTGATTACAGTGCAGTCGACACCGCTCCGGGAGGAAAGGCGACAGGGACTCTAGCTTCCTGCTGGGGGAGGCGGCTCCCTGCACGGGTGGCCGGGGACCATGTGGCACTGCTCAGGCCAGGATGCCAGACAAGCATGAGAAATGGCTCCCTGGAGGGCCCTCTGCTAGACAAGGGCCATAGGTTCCCAGGAAACTTGCATCTGGCTTAGCCCTTGAACAAAATCAATGCCCCGGGCTGCAGGAGGGGAGATAATGACAGCAGAACTTGCAATTCACTTCATTCATTCACTTCATGCATTCATTTATTTATTCATTATTTCTTGAGTTCTTACTGTAAACTGAGGGAAAAGGCCAATAGATATGCAGAAAGAATGAAAGAAGAACAAATGGAGGAGGCAGAGGGCAAGGAAGAGGATCTCACATTTATTGGGCACCTACTGGATGCTCAGCACTAAGGCACAATTTGGCACATTCATCTTCCTTGGCCCTTCAGCAACATCCTACCCCCTGGAAAAGCCCCCCTTCGAGGGTCCTTGTCTCTCTGTTTCAGAATACTTTCTCCTGGGCTTCTCAGACTTTGGCATCTTCTTCATTTCCTTCTCTGGCTCCTCCCTTCCCCTGATTTCTCATTGTTGGAAGTGTGCATGGATTTAGCCCTGGTCCCTCCTCTCCACTCGTTACACTCTCCCTACAGGTGACTTCCTCCATTCCTGTGCCTTGACAACCTTCTATAGATGGAGGATTCCAATATAGTTTTCCAGCCCAGATCTCTTTTCTGAGCTCCAGAACAATATCAAAAAAACGCCTACTGGACATGCCCACTTAAGGTCTCACAAGCATCTCACCTTGCATGGATTTCAAATGGAACTCTTGATTTGCCCATTGGAACTGGTGCCTCTTCCAGGCTTTCACAAGTAAAGAAATGGCACCACCAGCCACATAGCTGCACAAGTCAGGAATCTGAGAGTTACCCTCGACAATTCCTTCTTCCTCATTCTAAATCTCACTCTAATCACTTGAACCCACACACAACTAACCCATCCCCATGTCCTGTTGGTTCTGCCTGCAAAGCATGCCTCCATCCAGCCACCCTCCTTTTCCCATCTCTACAACCATACCCAACCACCACCAACTGCATTCTGGAATACTGCATTTGATCCCTCCAATTCATTTTCCAAAGTCACCTTGTTTTGTTTTGTTTCGTTTTTAGACATAGTCTTGCTCTGTCACCCATGCTGCAGTGCAATGGCATGATCTTGGCTCATTGCAACCTCCGCCTCCTGAGTTCAAGCGGTTCTCATGCCTCAGTCTCCTGAGTAGTTGGGATTACAGGAGCCCACCACCACATCTGCCTAATTTTTGTATCTTTTTAGTAGAGACGGGGTTTCACCATGTTGGTCAGCCTGGTCTCAAACTCCTGACTTCAGGTGATCCACCTGCCTCAGCCTCCCAAAGTGCTGGGATTACAGGCGTGAACCACTGCGCCTGGCCCAAAGTCGCCTTCTTAAAAACGACATCTGTGGCTGGGCGTGGTAGCTCATGCCTGTAATCCCAACACTTTGGGAGGCCAAGGCGGGCAGATCACGAGGTCAGGAGATCCAGACCATCCTGGCTAACACGGTAAAACCCCATCTCTACTAAAAATACAAAAAATAAATAAATAAATAAATTAGCCGGGCGGGGTGGTGAGCACCTGTAGTCCCAGCTACTTGGGAGGCTGAGGCAGGAGAATGGCGTGAACCCGGGAGGTGGAGCTTGCAGTGAGCCGGGATTGCGCCACTGCACTCCAGCCTGGGCAACAGAGAGAGACTCTGTCTCAAGATGACATTCGTTCCCGTCTCTCCCATTCTGGCTCAGAATCCCTCCAGCGGCTCCCACTGCACTCAGAATGCTGTCCTCACTCTTTCCTGTGGCCCCCAAGGCCCTGCCTGATCAGAACCTGCAAACTCTCCACACTTACCCCTCCCCATCCCTCTTAGCTCATTATGTTCCAGCCACACTGGCCGTTCTTCCCTTTCTCATCCATCTCATCCCATCTCATAGGGCTTTCTGCCTGGAATACTCTCAATCTGATCAACTGTGGCCAGCAAGGAAGTGGCAAGATGGGAAACCAGAACCATTTTGCCTACAAAAAACTTTCAATGGGCCTGGCTTTTCAGAAAAGAGAAGACCAGCAAGGGCTGGTGCCATCAGGGAGAGGTTCAGCAGGGAGGCAAGCCTTGGCCTAGGCCTACAGGAATTAACTAGACTGAGACAGAAGCACAGGAAGGAGGGAGGGAAGGGATAGGGAGGGTGGACACCCACGAGAGCTGGGTCTGCAATCTCTCCTCCAGTTACTGTCTCTGTGACCTTGGGAAGTGACTTAACCTCTCTCCCTCAACTGAGAGTTAGCTGTCTGGCTGTCTATTCTGCAAAACTGTGATGCCATTTTACGGATCTAATGGACTAAAATAAGTAAAGCACTAAGCTCTGTGCCAGGCATACTTTTAGCACTCAAAAAAGAATAGCTACCACTTTGGTAGCAAAGTGAAGACAACGTTGTATGTCCATGGGGCAGTAAGAGCTGACTTTTAGATCTGGCCTCCACAACCTTGAATCCTCGGGTAAACCATTTCTGCTCACTGGGTCTCTGGTTACTTTTCCCACCTATAAAATATAGGGGTTACATAGCAGAGGCATCCTTAACTATTTGAGGAGACAGGGCCCTATTTTTCAGTGTAATAGAAGCCATGGTCTTTTCTTCCCCAGAAATAGATGCAAAATTCTGCTCACAGGATCTAGGATCCAGTGCCACCCTGGGGCCACAGGAGGCACCTGGCTGTTAAGAGGAGAGGGCGCCTCTCTGAAAGATGAGCTCACACTGGCAGACCTGTCTGGCAGCAAATAAATCTATGATACTCTCCCTTCTCCCTCCCAGCTACCCCTCAGGGGGCCAAAGCTGGCTCCTCAGCTCTGCCAGCCTCTGCCCACCCCATGCCGAGCACAGTCAGGAGGCATGCTGTGCAGAGGGACTCCATAATTGGTCCCTGCTCTGTTTGTACTTCAAACAACAACCTTGAGATGTGTTCTCTGGACGTGCCGCCTGGCTCTGGCTGCCATAACGCTCAGCCGGGAAACACATCTCCAGAGATCCACAGCACTGGGGAAAAGCTAGGCATTCTTCAGCTGATGCCCAGGAGCTGAAGGTGTTTGAAACGGGCAGGGGCAAAGAAGGGTGGGGAACGCCAGTCTGCTCAGGAAATTCTCTACTCCTTGGTGACAGTTTCCAGTACAGAAGATATCTCCTCATTCTCTTTGCAGAGCCGACCAACAGATAAGCGCTGGGGATTTATGTCTTTAGACCTGTATTTAATTTTTCACACTGCTGCTGGAATGGCTCTTCTAAGACACGGTTGGATCCCACTCACAGAATAAAGGCCAAGTTCTTTGCCGTGGTCTGCAAGTACTGCCCTGGACTTTTGGTCTGGCTTAACCCTGGTTCCCACACACTGGCATCCTTCCATTAAACTGCCACCACCATGACTTTAAGGAAGCAAGCAAATCTGGTCCCTGCAACCTAATAGTGTCCCCTCTTCTTATGGCAGCACCTATAGTTACCTGTTTATTGGGTCTCTTCCACAAAACAGCGTGTGTCCTGGAGGCAGGAGTGTGGCTTTTCTCTCTGAGAGGTTGGTAATAAAAACTGCTCACAGCCTCAGTGCAGCTCTCCCTTCCCACCTCACTCCACCAAGGCCCTCAGGCTACAGACAAGGGGACAGACACAGAACTCACAGCCCTCAAACTATGCCTTGTGGAGGAAATGAACAGGCTCAGACATGGTGAAAAAAGGGTTAAGAATGAACTTGCCCTGAATCAGGGTGTGTAGGTCAAGCAAGATGCAAAGGAACTGCATGGCAATGATGCAAACATGCCCCTGTGTGGGTGGGGCCAAAACCAAAACCAAACAAACCAACAAAATGGAACACAGTATGAAAAAAAATCCAAAAACAACACCACCCACACACACAAAACAAAAACCCCAGTCTAAATAAAAACAACTAAACAAATGGAAGGAAATTACCCAAACGTGCTTCATGCTATGGAATAGCTTAAAAGCATGAATTTAATAAAATAAGAGCTAAAGGATTAGATGATTAAATAAAGCAATGGAATAAAGAATGATAAAACTGAGAACCACAAAACACTTTTGCAGAACCAATAAATACATGTTGAAACTCCAAGAAGCAGTGCAGGCACAGCAGGAAATCTAATTACTGATACCAACTAAAGGGTTCCAGTCCTGGCTCTGACACTCTTGAGCAGTGGGACCTTGGGCAAGTCACTGGGACTCAGAGGAGAAAGATTTAAATTATTAAAGCAACTACAGGAGAGAATAAAATGTATAGAAAGAGCAAAGGTGATCCAACATCAGAAAACTGGTGAACCTGAAGCAGAGAAACAGATGGAACACACAAAACAGTCTTCATCTTTTTAAATAAAAACCTCCTGAGATGAATAAAGATCTGAGTCTGCACATCAAAATTGCACACCACATTCCATAAAAAATTGATACAAAGGGATTGACACGAAGATGTTTCCTGGTTTAGGTATCGAACTTCCAAATGCAAGAAAGAAATCATCAAGCACCCAGGCAGAACCAACAAGTCACCTACAGAAGGGGAAATGTTCAGCTGACCTCAAACTTCCCCGCGGCAGCTTTCCATGTCAGCGGATAATGAAGCAACACCCACGGGGCTGAGTCCAAATGTGACCAGAAGCATTTTAACCTGCTGAGGTGCCGTTCAAGTACGGACAGCAGGAGTGTGATATTCCCACATCCAAGCTCAGGGATGACAGCACCTATGAGCCCATTTTGAAGCAGCCACTAGAATCCACTATGGCAGACTTCTAATTTGGACCCCAGTCTGTCTGGCCCATGCTCTTTCTGTTAATGCCATTTCTGCTTTATATATGAATTTTGTTCCCACATGCAGTCAATGAAGAGGTGGTTCAAAATAAAAAACCCAAGAATGGAGCAGAAGAACCAGTAGAGCACTGAATCTATGTAATTACAAAACTAAAAGTAAACAGCTATGGGAATGGTCATGAAACACTACAAAAGTGTTATAGACTCTGACAATCTAAAAATAACGATTGTGCAGACAATGGCTTTAAGTTTCTGTCCCTGTAAGATTTCATGAAAGCTGCACTTAAGGAATGAAAACAGATGAACCTAAATTTTCTCAAGACCTATGCTCTGACACTGGCTCCACTGCTTACTGTTTATGTGATTTGGAGGAAGCTGCTTAACCTGTTTGAACCTCAGTTCCATCACCTGTAAAATGGGGAGAATAATGCCTATTTCACAGGGTTTTAAGAATTAAATGAAAATACTGTAGGTAAAAAGCAGTGGCTTGCACATAGTAAATGTCAATTAAGAGGAGAAGCTGACTAAAGATGAGAATAAAAGTGAACATCTCCCTTCCCCCTTCCTCCCCAAAAAAGGCAAGGGGGTACCCATCAGCTCTGGATCTGGATAGCTAGTGAGGCTCTGGGCTCTCCAGTAGGTTGCTGTATCAATTCACAATGTTGCAACTCATTGCAGGGAGAAGCCCCTCCCACAGAGAGGCATTGGGCCCCCAGTTTCCAACCACACAGAGAGCAAACTCTTTTCCCCAGGACTGAGGCAGAGAAACTGAAGACTGAAGGAAAAGCAAGCCTTCACCTCCTGGCAGGGGCATGGTGAGAAGCAGTGTGGATCCAGCTGCTTGCCAGTGGATGCCCCCTTCTGAAGGCCTGAACAGGTCCCCATATGACTAGCCCTGAGGAACGCAGCATGCTGGGACACACGATACATGTAGGTCAGCAAGTCAGATTCTAGACCCAATCTATCTGCCACCCACTAGCAGT
Organism: Homo sapiens; assembly: GCF_000001405.40. Taxonomy (NCBI): domain Eukaryota; kingdom Metazoa; phylum Chordata; class Mammalia; order Primates; family Hominidae; genus Homo; species Homo sapiens. The sequence continues at coordinate 31,014,686 of NC_000002.12, forward strand.
GTGACCTTGAGCAAGTCACTTGAACTCTCCCTATTTCCTCATCGTAGAATAAGAGGGTAGGAGTCAATGATCCCTAAAGCACCCCTGCGTTTACCATGTATATAGAGTGCAAAGTTCTGTGTGGGTTGTACCCTTACACCAGTCTTTCCTGCCATAATTAATTCAACAAGAACCCCAGAGAAAGGAAGAGGAAGGAGAAGGAAACATGAGACAGAAGTGTAAATTAGCAGGTGAGGGAATGCATAAAGGAGGGAGGGAAGGGCTAAAGTTCTGTGGCCTCTGAAGAATCAACCACTCGCTAGCTTTAAAGAGGCAGGAGCTTGGCCGGGCACCGTGGCTCATGCCTGTAATCCCAGCACTTTGGGAGGCTGAGGTGGGTGGATCACCTGAGGTCAGGAGTTTGAGACCAGCCTGACCAACTTGGTGAAACCTCATCTCTACTAAAAATACAAAAACGTTAGCTGGGCATAGTGGTGCACTCCTGTAATCCCAGCTACTTGGGAGGCTGAGGCAGGAGAATCGCTTGAACCTGGGAGGCTGAGGTTGCAGTGAGCCAAGAGCGTACCATTGCACTCCAGCCTGGGTGACAAGAGCTAACATCCATCTCAAAGGAAAAAAAAAAAAAAAAAAAGAGATGGGAACTCACTCTCTGCCAGTGAGAGTTGAGAGTTAGTGACTACAGCCTCTGCAGGGCACCCCAAATCCACTCCTGACAGGAGAATTGCAGAAAGAAGGCAACTCTGCCTTATAAAAAGGGTCCGGAAAATCTGCCTCCATCTATACTAAAATCGATGGGCTAACAGTTGAGATGAATCAGAATGTCTGCAAAGTCTCAAAGTACATCCTCCAATGTACTAATGGCAAAAGGGAAAAAAAGAGTAATTTTATGATGGAGACTGCTGGCCAGTACCACCCTAGCCAAGCAATCAAGATTAACATTACCAGTAATAAAACATATCAATATCACATATCCCCTATAAGGATGTACTGACAAGGGCTCAACACCACGTCTGTAGTATTTTTGCCAAAAACACGTAGCTTCAGTCTAATCTGGAGAAAACATCAGACAAACCCAATGGAGAGACATTCTACAAAACAACTGACTAGAACTCTTCAGCGTGTCAAGGTCACGTAAGACAAGGAAAGACATCACAGATTGGAAGAGACTATTACAATTAAATGCAAGGTGGATCCTGGCTTGGTAACCAGAGCCACTGGGATCATCCCACCAGACAAGCTGCCTAAACGAGACCTTGAAGCAGGCTGAGGGGGCATGAAATCTAGAATGGGTAGAGGAGGAAGGAGATGATGAGAGTCACAAACAATTGCAGCAGCAGGGCCTAGAGTTTGCTCTACTAGCCCTTCTGCATGGATCCGCTCGGGCTACCATCACAAAACACCATAGACCACGGGGCTTAAACAACAGAAGTTTATTTTCTCACAGCTCTGGACGCTGGCAGTCCAAGATCAACGTGCGAACAGGGTTAGTTTCTCCTGAGGCCTCTCCACTTGGCCCGCAGATGGCCGTCTTCTGGCTGAGTCCTCATGTGGTTTTTTCTCTGTGTGTACATCCCCAATGTCTCTTTCTGGATTTCTAATCTTCCCTTCTTGTAAGGACACCAATCAGATTGTATTATGCCAACCTTGATTACCTCCTTATAGGCCATCTCTCCAAATACAGTCACATGGGGGTTAGAGCTCCAACGTATGAATGGTAGAGGGTAGAGAAGGGACACAATTCAGGCGATTACACCTTTCCTTACAGAGCTTCCTAGAAACTGGGACTAAACAGAATCCCAGAGAAGCTGTACCAGGATAGAGGGATGAACCACAGTGGGTGCCACTGTGCCCCACACGAACTCCTTCCACTGGGCCTGCACACCCATCTCTCAGCTGCTAGGAGTGCTGGCTGCAAACTTCTACAGAGACCTGCCCCCCAGAACAAGACCTGCCTCTCCTGGGAGGTATATCCCCAACTCCAGGGAGCAACTGGTGCCAGTGGCTGAGCAATCTCTTCTCCAAGGCTCCCCTTGGAACCAGGTTGAAATCTCCTACTATGAGATACATCCTTGCAGAGCATCTTCCCCCGCCTGCCCTGTCTTGCTTCCCTCACTCCCCTCCTCCTGGGAGTGCTCTCATTAAATTTACAAGGCTCTGCTTCTATGGAATCTGACTCAAGACACAAAGCACTACCTACAAAGCTTAGGATAGTGCCTGGCACACAAAAGGGATCACGAGGTGTTAGCTATCATCCTCACAACATACCACGCTCTGTGCTGGACGAACCGTACACATTATTCACTGAATCCTCAAAAACCCTGCAAGGCAAATAATGTGATGATCACTTTATGGTTAAGCAAGGGTCTCAAAGCTAGCTATGGCAGACTTCTAATTTGGACCCCAGTCTGTCTGGCCCATGCTCTTTCTGTTAATGCCATTTCTGCTTTATATATGAATTTTGTTCCCACATTTTCAGAAAGGTTCCTAAGACTCTAATCTTCCTCCATGTCCATGGCCTTCAACAGATATGACTTGGCCCCTGGCCCCTTGCAAGCCAGGATGTTCTTCCTGTAAGCCATCAGGCCTGCTAGCAGTGACTGTGGCCACTCAGCATATACCTGCCATCTTCTGTTCCCTTGCCCACAATAGGCATTGCTGATGGGCCCTTCCAATATGAATTCTCCTAACTCCACTATGATCTTAATGACAGCTAAATTTACTGTAAATAATACATATAACAGAGTACCCATTTTTATAAATATTTAAATTTCCTACTGAGAAAACACAAGATTTTAATCATTACCTGCAGGGGATCCAGGTTCTTAGATAGATTAATGAAGTAAAGGGTTTAAAGACTGGGACCCTTTGCTCCAAGTATTGAGTCAGGGGAGAGTCAGACAGGAGCAAAATCTGTCACCCTTCACTACTCCCTGGGGGCCCACTCTGCAAGAAAATCCTCTTTAGCCTCTGCCCAAATCTTGCAGTCCACAGAGACCACCTGAGAAGGCCTAGAAAGCCCAGCACCTCTCACCTGGAGAGATGCCAGCACCGCTGCACAGGGCACAATGGAATGGCTGAGAAAGAGGGCGCTTGATGAAATTAAAAGGCAACCAATTTAAAAGAGATTAAGCAGGGAAAAGGGGATTTAATGATCAGCTTTTGCCACTGTGAACTAACTGAACCCACTGGCATGGAGACTAATAGTTTAATATGTTGTTCAACAAGGGTGAGATGTCTGTGTGAGTAATAAGGGCACCTGTAGTTATGGTGACAAGGGTAAAATTGCCCTCGCCACAGGGCCTCGGCCTTGGGGGCTGTACTCCACTCATTTCCCGAGTACGGTCAGGGCCAGCCACTCAGCACTTCCCAGCCTCAGGAGAAACAATTTTCACGACAAGAAAGGGGCCTGATGATGTGTAAGCAGAAGAAATCCTTGGAGAGCAAGTAGCAAGAAGGGTGAGACAGAGGCTCGCAGATTTAACACAAACAGGGCAGCAGGGCCCTCCAGGTACCCCTGGCCCAGGCCGAGAAAGAGCCAGCTCCGAAGGACTTGAGAGGAATGACTACCATATATCATTCACTCTTGCTGAAGAGTTGTATTAGTTTGTTTTCACACTGCTATAAAGATGTACCTGAGACTGGGTAATTTATAAAGAAAAGAGGTTTAACTGACTCACGTTCCACAGGGCTAGGGAGGTCTCAAGAAACTTAACAATCATAGCGGAAGGGGAAGAGGCATGTCTTACATGGCAGCAGGTGACAGAGAGTGGTAGGCAAATGAGGAAAAGCCCCTTATAAAACCATCAGATGTCATAAGAACTCACTGTCACATGAACACCGCCCCCGTGATCCAGTCACGTCCCATCAGGTCTCTCCCTTGACACGTGGGGATTAAAATTTGAGATGAGATTTGGGTGGGGACACAAAGCCAAATCATATCAAGAATCCAGAAGGGCTGGGGACTGCTTTTTTTATTTTATTATTTTTAAGGTATTTGACAAATGACATCTGGAAAAGTGAGGGCTTCTGGGGATGGAAGGATGGAAATGAGTTGGTGAGGAAATTTGTGCAGGTTCTTTGGGATGACAACAACAAAAAAGCAAAACTAATTTTACTCAGCACACGGCCCTCATGACCTTTCATTGTGGCCTGCAGGCTCAGCAGCTGTGTGGTGGGGCCTGCGACCTCTACCTAGCTCAGGCCCTGCAGAGCACAGAGAGCTTCTCAGTGAGTGGTCATTAGACAAGAGAATGAATGAGTGACCCCAGGCCCCCTCACAAATGACAGCGTGAAGGGGGCCGGTGATGGGGACTCAGTTGTCTCCAGGTACTATGCTCAGTGCTTTATTGGGCACCATCTCACATCATCCTGAGAACAACTCCATGAGGCAGGAGAGATTAAGTATGTCCCCAGGGCCACAGCCTGGCATAAGGCAGCCAGACTTCAACTCAGGGCTCCTAAACCACCACTCATATGTCTCACTTCTGGGACAGAAGCCCCAGAGTAGGCAACTCTCAGAGAGGACAGAACTGCGATGCCTCCACTCAGCCCTTCTGCTGACACTCTATTTCAACTTGAAATAATGTCGTCTTAATTTAAATTCCAGCTTGGGTTGAGAATTTGTTGGTATCAGAGTTTATTTTGAGTGGGTTTTGCTTTAATTTTCATTTGAAAGGAAGCCTTCTTTCCAGAACTGCAGAGCCTAGTACCTGACACCTAACTCACCTGCCCCAGCCACACTGTCATTTTGAGGGGACTTGGGCTCATTCATTCTCTTATCTAATGACCACTCTCTGAGAAGCTATCTGTGCTCTGCAGGGCCTCAGCTAAGCAGAAGAACACGGGTCCACCACACAGCCCCACAACCCAGTCCTGCACTCAAGGAGCCTACAGTCATGAGGATGATGACGGGATAGTCCCAGGGGGAACCAGGGTTTCTCATGGAGGTTAAGTGGCTATCGCTGTCTTTCCAGACTGGACCTTCCTGGGAGTGGCAGCTTGAGGCAGAGGAAAGAATGAATACTGGATTCTAGTCCCAGCTCTGCACTCACTCACTGTGTGACCCCAGAAGACCTACTTGGAACATCAGACTGTCCCTCTGTAAAGTGGGCATCATGATTCCTGGCCTGCCCAGGTCACAGGGTCATTGCGGGAATTAAGTGAAAGGATACTGTAAAAGTGCCTTAACAACTGAACAGCTTTCTACAATAGAAAGGCTTACTCTTGGGCCAGAATTTAAGTATGAAATTGCACTTGAGTAAGGGGCGAGCGGTGGCTCAGTCTACCCTATGAATATATCTCTGTGAAAGCCGATTACATGCTTATTACTCCTCTCCAGGAATAAAACCCACTTTCCACATGGCCAGCCCCTTCCCCAGCACACCCTGGCTTATCTCAGCCATGTGGCCCCTTCTGCCAGCCACTGCTGTCAGAAATGAGCAACTCAGTCAGGGACTTGGGAACACACGTCAGAGAAGTGTGTTTTGCAGCTATCACACAGGAAAACAGTGTTGGATCATTATCCAGGAGATGAAAATACACTCAGTCCACAGAACTGTATTTTTTAATTATGTTCATTAAAAGGAGATTGAACCAAAAATGAAGCTCAATGGAAAGCTGATTTTGCTAGAACTTTTCCATTCAAAACACAGCCATAGTTTATAGTATTGTCATGTGGGTAAATGACACCCCAGGGAACAAATAGGTTTAGAAAGAAGCAAAATACCTCAAGCAGTCCCTGGTCCCCCTCAGGAAAGTCAGAGCACCCTCTCTGGGTAGCACAAAGTTGGGAGTGGGGCACAGCCCACCTAAGGCTAAAATTCAAGATGGCCTCCGGAATCACATAAGGATGGGCTTATCTATACACCCAAGACACCTGACACCCCGGGGAAGCTATTTTTAATCTTCGACTCCTCAACTTTCATGCTTGGCCTGGGAATGGCCTCCCCAAGCCCAGTCCCCCTTTCCCCTCTGGGAGGGAAGGTGTGTTGCTGGTAGGATCAACCCACCTTCTGTCTTGCCCTGATCAGCCTCTTGGCTCCCACATATCATACGGCTTACAGAGATCATTTAGGACAAGTGCATTTCCACCTGCTCATGAAGGCTGCATCTAGCTGATCCTCTCTCTTGGTGAGCCAGCTTCAGCTGCTCTGAAGGGAGTATGGTGTGTGGGAGAAATAGGCTTTCCAGCAGCCTGCACATTTCTATAATGCCAATTACATGCTTATTACGCCTCTCCAGGAATGAAACCCACATCCCATGTGGCCAGCCCCTTCTCCAGCACACTCTGGCTTATCTCAGCCACGCAGCCCCTTCTGCCAGCCACTGCTGTCAGAAAAGTATGGGATCTTAATCAATTGCCAATGGGACTGGAGGGAAGGCAGGAGCACAAATGCCCATCTCGGAGCCAAGAGAGACTCAAACAAGAGCTTGAACAGCCAGCAGGTGCTGCACAGATGGGCCATTTTAGAGGTGTGGAAGGGATGTTCCCAAGGGCCATGTGGAGCTGTGGTCACCAAAGGGGAGCAAGGTAGAAGGCAACTTTGGAGGAAGTCTAGGGTCTTCTCCCTCAGACCTGTGGGTTAAGTCTGGCCTGCCAGCTGTTTTTTCTTTTCTTTTTTTTATTTTTATTTTTTTGCGACAGAGTTTTGCTCTTTTCACCCAGGCTGGAGTGCAGTGGTGTGATCTCGGCTCACTGCAACCTCCGCCTCCTGGGTTCAAGCAATTCTCCTGCCTCAGCCTCCCGAGTAGCTGGGATTACAGGCGCCCACCACGACACCTGGCTAATTTTTTGTATATTTAGTAGAGACAGGGTTTTGCCATGTTGGTCAGGCTGGTCTTGAAGTTCTGATCCCAGGTGATCCACCCACCTCAGCCTCCCAAAGTGCTGGGATTATAGGCATGAGCCACCATGGCCAGCCAGCTGCTTTTATAAATAGAAGTTTTATGGAAACATAGCCAAGCCCATTTGCTTGCATGCTCTCTATGACCACTTTCTCACTACAACAGCAGAGCTGAGTAGTTGCAATCACTCTGCAGACCATCTGGCCCACAAAGCCCATAGTATTTACAATCTAGCCCTTTATGGAAAAGTTTGTTGAGTCCTGGTGCAGCAGAAAGAGCACTGGCATGGAAGGCCGGAAGTCAGAGGACTTGAAGTTAAACATGCATTCTGTCCCATCCTGGCCATGTGATGTGGATAGGTCCTTTCACTTCTCTAGAAATTAGTTTTTCTCATCTATAAAGTGTGGATGTAATAACCACCCTGTAGGGATGTTGTCATAATCAATAAAAAGGAGGTAAGTTGTGTATGCAGTGATGGCCTCAAAGACAGACACACCAGTACATAATTAGATAGATAGAAGAAAGATTCCGTCTTCCCTGTGGTTCTGAAATACTGCCTCCTGGTCTTCTATTCTTTGTGGGCTAGAACAGTGTCAGAGACTCTGCATGTGTTTTGCAAAGGTGTGTATGGATGGGAAGTGGGGGTCAGAAAGGGGAGGAAGGGAGGGAAGAAGGAAGAGCTGGCACAGACTTGATTTTCTCAGAAGAAATAATGACAGGCAGATCAAAGCCTGCCTCCTTTTAAAACATATACACTGTCACACCCCAAATATGGGCGTGTACCCCTCAGGGGGTCCCCCTCAGTAGGGGATGGTGGGATGCTGGGCCCTATCTCAATAAGTGGCTTGGGGGTCAGCCTTCCCTTGGGCTGAGTATTATGGACCTTGACCCATTATGCAGGCCTACATTCTCCTTCTCCTCCCAGTTCTGGAATAAGGCCTTTTTTTCCCCCAACACTCTACCTTTCCCCAAGTCAGAATCCCATCCCACACAGGGCCTCCAGTTGCCATGTAACACTGCTACAAAACAACGTCTTCCCACTTAGCACATGTGTATGTGGAGCTAAGGGGGTGCTTCAGGGGGCCCAAGACTGGTGGGATGAAATTCCTGCTCAAGAAGCATAGAGCTTCCTAAGGAACTGGGGAGGGCAAACAAGGCCAGGTAAGGATCATTGGGAGCCTTAAGCAGAAAAGAAATTATAGTACTCCCTAATATGTAATTCTAAATAAAAACAATAGGCAATGTTAAACACGACATATGAGTATGCTGAAATGAACAGAGGTTCTCTGTAGATTTTCTAATGCCAAAATTCTGGATAAGTTCATGGGAGCTTAATTCATTTACTCCCCGCCTATGGGTGCCCTGCCAGGCTACTGCTATCAGCATGCGCTCTGTCTGCTTATCCAGGAGCTCAGCACTGACAGTCTGGAGACCCCAAGCAAAGGGCCCAGAAGCTCAGGAGGCACTGCTTCCAGCAGGACTATTGTGGGAATGCAGCATGGGGTGAGGAAGGGCGCATTTGAGAGAGGCCTTGAAGAAGGGGTAACATTTTGACAGATTGAGATATGGGAGAGTTTTCTAAGATAGCTAATGGACTGGTCCAATAAAGCTATAGTGGGGAAAAACAAAAACAAAAACAAAAACAAAAACAAAACAAGGTATGTTTGAAGGCTCAAACCAAAATTGAGAATGGTGAATATCTCAATTTTCTCTGGAGTAAAGTTTCCAGTGGATGAAAAATAATCCTAGTAAGTTAGGTTAAGACCACAGCATGGATGGCCTTCATCACCCATTGTGTGATTTGGATCTCACCTCCTCTCACCTCTTCAAGGAACTCTTTCCTGTAACTGTGCCTCTTTCCTTACATTGTCAAAGCTCCCCTCTCTGCTGGACCACTCCCATTAGCATACATGCGGTGAATTTCCCATCTTTAAAATACCCTCCCTCCCCTCAGCCCCAGAACCCTCTTCAGCAGTCATCCCCTTTCTCAGCTTCCCTTACAGAAAGGGAATTCTGTTTGCACTTTCTTCCCTTCCTTTCTTGAGCCCCAACCCCATTAGGCTTTTATCCCAGTGATTCTACTGAAATTGCCTTCCTGAGAATCATCATGACTTGCACATGGTTAAATCCAATCGGCATTCCTGACTCTCACCCTGCTTGATCTAGCAGCATCCATGGTTGGCACAGTAGCCTCATCCCTCCCCTGTGACACTTCCCTCCTCTGCCTCCAGATGCCACTCACTCCTGCTTTCCCTCCCACCTCTCTGGCAGCCCCTCATCACTCTCCTCCTCCAGCTAAACACTGAAGCGTTCCAGTTGTGCATCCAGCACCCTACCTGACCTCATTTAGTCCCAAGGATTTAGACTCCGAGGTGACTCCCAAATTTATATCTTTGCCTCCAACCCTCTCATATCCAACAACTTACACTGCACTTCCACTTTAAGGTCTAAAATATATCCTGAGTGTGTGGCCCCAACCCGGTCTTGGTTTCCCTCTGGACCTGCTCCTACTGAGCTTCCCCATCTTAGTAGAGGCAAATCCATGCTTCCCATTTCCCCAGCCTTGAACAAGGCATCACCCTTGACTCCTCTATCTCAATCCCTACTGTCAGCAAACCCTGTGGACTCCTCCTTGAAATATACTCCATGCCATCTCCCAGCACCTGCACCACTGTCACCTGACCCCATCTCTTACCTGAACTCTGATCTCCCTGGCTCTTCCCCTTTCCCCTTAGAGATTATTCCCCACACAGCAGCCAAGAAGAGTACAAGTCAGATCACATCACATCTTGGCTCAAAACCTTCTCCTGGCTGCACAACTCACTCACGGACAAGTCTTCACGGTGGCACAAAGGCCCCACCAAGGCCCCACACACGGTGGCCCAAAGTCCCCTCCTACTGCTCTCCCCTCACTCCCTCTACTCCAGCCACACCAGGTTCCTCCCCAGGCCAGCCGAGCTGCCACCTCAGGGCCTTTGCACCTGCTGCTCCTTCTACCTGGAATGCATTAGATTCTGCATGGCTCACTCCCTCCTACTGAACCTCACCTCTTCCAAGACTTGTCTGGACCACCTTCCCCTTATTCAGCTGTTTTTTCTTCATAGCATTTGTCACCACCAGAGAGGTTATATATATCTCTTTGCTTTCTGTCTCCTCTTGCTAGAATGTTGGCCTCGTGAGGACAGGAATTCCAGTGGGTATCCCTAACACCCAGTCCAGACCCTGGCATATGGTTCTACTCCATAAATATTTGCTGAACAAATACCAGGCCCAAAGTATGAATTTTATTAGAGAAGTAATGGGGAACCACTGAAAAATTCTAAGTGTGACCCCACACGGCAGGGCTCTAGGACCATGAGCTGGCAGGGATGGCAGGCTAGTGGGATGGCATAGAGGGAGGCCCAGACCAAAAGTTGAAATACCTGATATGTGGCTCCACTCTACCATGGACTGCTGTGTGCAGCAGGCCAATCGCTTCATCTCTTTGGGCCAACTTCCTACATAGTTATTAAGTTATTAAGACAGTTAAGTTATTAAGTTATAATAGTTATTAAGACAATAGTTATTAAGACAGTTAAGACTGATCTGAGTACTTGTATTGGGTTAGGTGCTTCACATGAATCATCTCATTTCACCCTTGCCATAATTCTAAGATGTAGTTATCACTATTATTCCTATTTCAGAGGTGGGGAAACTGAGGCATAAAGGTTTACAATAATGCTAGGAAGTTGATAGGCCTCGATCCCATTGCAAGACACCTGACCCCAGAGCCAGTGTCCCTCCCACCTTGTTAATCCAGACCCATGAGCAGGGTCTGGATCTCATGACCTGCAAGGTGCCCACCCATCACCAACACTCCATATTATGGAGAGAGAGACGGGTAGAGGCAGGCATAGGGAGATGGATGGGGAGAGAGCACAAGTGACAAGCTAAGGAGGCCACTGGAATTGTCTAGATGTGGATTAAAAGAAACTGACTGGAGAATGACAAGACAGGGCTGGATGGAAGACAGGGAGCAGAGAAAACACCGGCAGGCTTGTCAACCAACCAGATACAGGTGGAAGGAGGTGGAAGAGACCAGAGACCAAGAGCTCTAAGCTGGGTGAGGACAAGGTTGAAAGCATCTGTAACATGAAAGAAAGGTGGCAATGAGAGGGCAAGTGCATGTGAGTTCTCCAGAGAAACAGAACCAACAGGGTATGGGTGTACAGATACAGAAAGAGAGATTTAAACAAAGTGGCTCATGCTATTCTGGGGTCTGACAAGTCCAAAATCTGCAAATCAAGCCAACTCCAACCAGAGTTGAGTGCAAAGGCTGGTAACTCAGGCAGGCCTTCTATGTTACAGTCTTGAGGACTGCAATTTCTTTCTTTTTCAGGAAAGTTCAGTCTTTATTCTTAAGGCCTTCGGCAGATTGGATGAGGCCCGTCTACATTATGAAGAGTAACCTGCTTGATGAAAAGTCTACTGATTTAAATGTTAAACATATCTAAAAAAAATCTTCATAGCACACTGGTGTTTGACCAGACCACAGCCTAACTGAGCTACCACATAACATTGACCATCACAGAGAGCTCGTCCTCAGACATGCCGAGTCCACCAGAGACCCCTGTGGAATGTTGGGCACTTTCAGAAGGACATTTCTTCCAGTAAGGGGCGGGGCCACTGGCTTTTCTACAGGAGATCTGCAAAGGTCAGAGTGTCCATCTTCATTTCCTTTTCCTTGTATTATTTTGCCAAGTCTCTGAGGCCTTGTAGAAGCTTTACTCTTCCCACAATTATGGCTGTTGTTATTATCCTTCTTAGTCTTAGCACGAGGATGCTCTGGCTGGATTCCAAGAAGGAGAATTACTTTCTGTCTCCCTTACACCCTCCTGTTGCTTTTAATTGGATGCAGAGTGTCTTGTCTTCTCTCCCCAGACGGACAAGGAGCGTGGCCTGTGATAGTTTAAGTGGCTGCCCTGCCCTGGCTCAGAGATGAGTTAGCCCTCAGTCGGGGTGACGCCAAGTCACCCTGGCAGCCACATGAAGATATTTGCTTCTAAAGAGATTCCTGAGGCTCTTGTGCTTATCACTTATAGGGAGGGGGTCTGCCCCAAGAATCACAATGGGGTCTAGTCCTGCCTCTGCCACTAACATGCGGGGAGACTGTGGACCAGTCTTTTCCAATCTCTGGCCTTTAGTTTCCCCACTGACCTGGGTAATCTCCAAGGTTTCTTCCAGTCTGACGTTCTCCCATGCCATCATGGCAGGTCATTGATGTCCTGCTCATATACAAAGAAAAGGGATTCTGCTCCAAGTCCACAGTCCTTTCTTCCTCAGTCTTCCCAGGGCTGCCCACTTTTTTGAGTACAACCTAAGGTATGAAATGTATACTGCAGCCAGTACACTACACAGCACGCATATCTACAAGTGCAATGGAGACCAACATTTTATGAATGAAACTCCTTTTTTACCTGTAATGCTTTCTCCTTCTGTCTCATGCCTTTAAAAGGTAAAATTCACTGATGCATCATAATCTATATTAAAACAAACAAACGCTGGTCCATCTGGCACTGTATCCAGGTATGATGAGAAACTAGGAAACACAGGCCCTTGCATGAGTGTTAAAAACAGGCCCTGGCCAGTTGCGGTGGCTCACGCCTGTAATCCCAACACTTTGGGAGGCCAAGGCGGGTGGATCACCTGAGGTCAGGAGTTTGTGACTAGCCTGACTAACATGGTGAAACCTCACATCTATTAAATACAAAAAAATTAGCCGGGCATGGTGGCACATGCCTTGGGAGGCTGAGACAGGAGAATAACTTGTACCTGGGAGGCAGAGGTTGCAGTGAGCTGAGATCGCGCCATTGCACTCCAGCCTAGGCAACAAGAGCAAAACTCCAACTCAAAACAAAGCAAAAAAAAAAAAAAAAACAGTCCCTGTGCTCAGTATTTTCTTACTCTGAGAAGCCAAGGCACCTCTTCAGAGACCATATACCTTCAACCTCAAGGGTCTTAGCATAGTGCAAAAGATCCTCGACAAAAGGGATCATGTCTGAGATCAGCCAACCTTGGCAACTTTAGGAAGAAACCTGGTACGTGGAGGCCAGGGGAGTGATATTAGCATGTCCCAAGAATTCCTTTCAGGATTAGTACATACTATTAGTTGCTCATTATTCGTGCTTATGTTTATCATCACAATTTATGTCCCCACCCTGTATGGTGAAATGGGAATGTAAATTAAATTCACATCCACTACAGTGTACTCATGTAGACTGTGCAACTCTATAAAAACAATAGTTTTTGCCTCTGGAAAGCTTTAAGCAACAAGTGCTGCCTGGCGGATATGATACTCTAAGAGGGCCCAGATGTATTCTGTGTGTGTGTGTGTGTGTGTGTGTGTGTGTGCACGCATGCATGCGCACATGCTTGGGGTAGGGGAGCCTTCATCAGTGGCATCTTCATCAGGTAAGAGGCTGACTTAGTCCATAGCTAATGAGCATATGTAGTGAGGTGTATAACGCATGCAAGTGTGCTTGTAAACCTTAACCCCATCTTTAATGCTAAATATCCCTGTTAATGATTCCCATCGTTCTCATTGTTACAGACATACACTTTTTCTCCTCTTCTGCCTGCTCCTCAGTGCAGGAAGTTGAGGTCCTCACCCACATAGTTGCTCAGGTGAGGTTGCTTGGCTGTTGTCCAGGTGTGAGAATGCCTGGCCTCTCTGAGGGGCTCCACAAGTCTCCCAGCCATTTCCCTCCTCTGAGGTGATGATGAGCCTCTCTCTCAGGACATGACAGGCAGGAGCTGCTACTCAACCCAGATCTCCCTCCTCCTCCCACCATGGCGGAAAGCCAGATCAGAACTCTCAGTCCATCCAGGGCCAGCTCTGTGCTGAACTAGAAAGAGACCCTAATTCAGCCCTGCTGGGATGAGAGCATCAAGATTCAGGGTTTCAGGGCAACTGCCCTCCACCAGGTCCGGTTAGCGGGGCTCCCTCCATCTCAGCTAGAGCCGCCACCACCTGCCCTTCCCCATGGGGTGCTCCCACACATAACGGTGTGTCAGAAACACTGCTGCTTTATTATCAATATGCAAAGCCTTCGAGGCAGCAGGAGGCGGGGTAGCGGTGAAACACCAGGGGCTATTTATGAGCCTCCAACTCCCATGCTGGGCTTTATTTGCTTAATGAATGGCCGGGGCCAGCCATCAGCCCAGGGATTTATTTGTCACTGGGAGCAGAAGACACTAGGATGTGGAGATGTAAAAATGACAAATTCTCCAACTCAGCCAAGGTGGTATTTCATTGGCATGATATCTAGTGGGGAAGCGAAGGTGAGGAGAAGGGAAGGACGGCTCCCATGCTAAGCAGCAACGGCTGAGAGTAGCTTAAAGTTGAGGGATTGGCCATGTTCAAAAACCAAAAAAGCTGCTTTCTAGAATGAAGAATGAGGGCTAGGGATGAGAACATTTATTAGCAGTTCTCAGGTGCTCTTCCCTATGCTCAATTCTCTGGGGGTTGCTCCCTGAGCCCCCATTTCTCAAACTGCCCCACCCAACAAGAACTCTAACGCGTGCAGAGGGAAGAAAATTGGCCCAGAAGACAAGAGGCTTGAGTTTGAGTTTCTGTTCTACAATTCATTAGTGGGGTGACCGTGAGCAAGTCATTCGCGGGATCTATTTTGTCATTTGTAAAAGGAAAGGATGGACAAGCTCTATGACTCTTATTTAAAGTGGAGGAATATAAGGAACTAAAGTCAGGAATAGTCAGCCAGCCTATTAAACAGACCCTGCCACCTCTACATTCACTGTCACAGAGGCCACGTCATGACGTCTGCAACCAACATCATCTCACTGCCTCCACCACCGTCATCTTCACACACCTCATCATCTCCACCAGCATCCGACCATCTGGTCCTCCACAGAGCCAATCTCACATGAAGACTGACTTATTTTATTTGTAATACAATACAACGTAGTTATATTTCTCAGCCTGCCCTGTAATCATATAGAACCACATAACTAATGGAAGGTTAGTGGAAGTTATATGTACAACGCACAGGTCACAACCTTTAAAATGAAAATGAGCTGTCCTCCGCCCCTCTCTTTCCCCTTCCCCGGTCTAGGACATGGATGTGATGCTGATGGCCAGTCGCAATCATGTAGACTAGAACAACACTCTACATCCCAGAGGAGTAGCAATCCCTGGCTCTCCACGTGACCTCCTGTTGCAGAGTGCTACTCACCCTACACCACCTTTAAACTGTTTAGAGAGAAAAGCGGCAACTTCTATCTTGATTGACTACTATAATTTTTTTGTATATTTGTATATTTTGTATATTTGTTACAACAGATTAACCCATATCCCCACTAGCTATAATGCCAATGAAATACTACCTTGGCTGAGTTCGAGAATTTGAGTTGGAGAATAAGCTTTCCATTGTCCTTGGGAACGAGTGAGTTCTTCTCTGCTCTGCGCAGGCACAGAACATCATTTCTATGACAGCATTGTGCATATCATACAGAATTATTTGATTATTATTTTCGTGTCTTCTAGACTGTGAGCAGCTGGAGAACAGAACTTGTGCCTTCTTCATTTGGATAAAGCTCCAGTAGCCTGACCATTTTGAGTTTTCAGAAAAGCACAAGAGGAAAACTGTGGGGCCTCCCTAAGTGGACAGGTTAGGGATGAAGCCCAAGAAGATCTGTGGGGACTGGTGCCATTCTTAACTGCCAGTGTAAGAAATGTCAGCTGTAATAGCAGTATCTGTCCACTCCTCTCGTGGAAATCACACAAGTCCAGGGCCGAGCACCAGGGCTGGATGGAAAAAAAAATCAAGGCATTTGATTTTGCTAAACATACCATTCTAGGTATGTTTAGCAAAAGGAACTTAATAGAGGCACTTAGAGGCTTATAAAATTGTTGAAAAAACTAAGGAAGCAAAAGTCAAGAAAGTTCACTGCTAGTGTTTAAGAAAAATATAGGAATTGCAGGAGACTGTCACGCATGGTCTCAGCTACATAAAGCAAAAAAGTGGGTGGCACTTCTATCACCATTCACAGGAGGATACCCAGAAGCACTGGCAAAACCTCAAACCCTCATGTCTGCCATCTGCTGAAGCCCGTGAGCCTTCCCACTGACCTGCTGGAGCAACAATGACTTCTGCTTCTCTCCTACCTTCCAAATCTCAGGCACAGGCTTCTCCCTGGTGGATTCTTTATAGTGAGGAAGTCTGAGAAATGTTTGTAGGCTTCCAGCCCCTGGAATATGAGAGACAGCCAAGAAGGGCAGAGACGGTACTGATCACCAACTGTCAGCATCTCTCACAGCCTAGATTTAGACATGGTTTAAGGCTCAGACCCATCAGCAACTCTTTTTCTTGGGATGCCTATTTATCTGTGTATTTTGCATTCACTGGGGGGCTGAAGGATTTTGATAGCCCCAGCTGAAGGCCAGAAAGCCATTAATATTCAAGCATCATGAGAAAGCGCATGTGTGTAGTCACACACCCTCCTCAAACCAGCAAGCTCCAATTGTACAATTCGAATATGAGAATCGGGTTTCCTGTAATGGCGATCACCATGTGCTCAGATAATTTAGTGTCATAACCTTTAAATGGCCACAAGTTCTTTCTCAAAATGGTAGACTTATCAAGTCCTATTTGGATGCCATGTGATCACTTAAGGGGTGAACCTCTGAAATGTCTTAGGAGTCCTGTCAGGTCACCCCAGAGAACAGGCAGCCCCAGAGGTTGGGGAGAAAGTCCCAAACTCTCTATCCTAACAAAACTTCAAGCAGGTGACAGGGGAACTTTATAAAAGAAAGCACATGACTTGGTCACATTTCAGCTCTGAGATTACTGGACCATTATTTCCAAACAATTACTATTAGATATGATTCTAACCTCATAGAACTAGTCATAAGGAAATGATATCTAGGCTCACTAAGATGACTAAAATCTTACTTTCGGTCCAGTCTATCTTTGCATGGCCATGCAAATCCTTTGATAAGACTCCCTCTCATGCACCAATGCCACTGGTACCTCTGCTTACTTTGCTCACCACTTCCTCTCACCTCCAACTCACCAAGTTGAAGAAATCTAGTCCCCAAACTGTTACACCTTGTTGACACATTCACAACACTGATCTATCTAAACAAGATCAATATGGAGAAAAAAATAAGAGCCTTTAAGTGCTCTGCCTAAGCCTTGAAAATAGCTACCATCCTTAGGATCCTAGAAGGAAATGTGACTTTGAGTGCAGGATCTTGGCTACACATTCCAACTTCCATGGAGGGGCAGAGGCTCCCACTTCCCCTCCACCCTCCACAGAGGGGCAAGAGCATGGCTGGACACAAAATGCTGGGATACAGTGTTCTCTCTCTAGCAAGAGTCTTCCTGTTTTGAAGCTCTGTCTCTGGAATTACTGAGCTGTGCCTGCTCCCTCTCCTCTCGGAACTTCTCGCGGCTGCCACAGTCAGCTGCAGAGGACCTGCCTCCACTTGGAAGGAGGCATATTTGTTCTTATGGAAGGCCATGATGAAACCATGGTGGGGTTTTGAGAGGAATACCTAGGCAGCAGACTCTCATGGATACAAAATGGGTCCTTGAGGCCTACGGTAATGAGGCCAGCTCCCTGATGTAGGGGACCAGCCAGGGGCCTGGGGCAAAGCCCTAACCTACAAAACACTGATTTTTCTCCAGTGGTCCTTTGTGCCCATGATCCCTGGGGAACTGGTGGGGATGGCTGGTTGAGGATCCACTCGCTCAAGATACCGCCCAGCCACTGACATCCCAGAACTTTCATCCTCGCCTAAGCCCAGGGTTGGGAATGAGAAAGATGGAAGAGTTGTTGGGAGGGAGAACAAGAGTGGCCACGAGGGCTGCAGCGCAGAGCTCCTGAATGTCACTGAACTGCAGTGAAAGGCAGGGTATTTTTCATTTCCAGGCTGCAAGAAACAGATGAAGTAGGCAGAGTAGCTGGGCTTAATTGTTGCTGTTTTACTTTACTGGTGTTTTCTGAGGTCAAGCATGTTAAGAAGCATCCTAAGGCTGTGAAATGACTGAGCAGCCCAGAGGTCCATGTGACCAAGTGCACAACTTGATTCTGCAATCTTCCTGCCAGGGAAGCTGTTGAGATTATTTCCCAATCCCCACATACCCCCTCTTTCCCAGCACAGGAAGTCCCTCCTCTGCACAACTCCATAGCATTGCTGAGCGATCAAGGTCAACTGCGCAGTACTGCTGAGTGATCACGGGTCTACTGTGAAGAGTAGAAGATGTGATGTGCACACAGATGCCAGGAAGCTCTTGCTCTGCCTCAGGCTTTATTTTGCTCAATGCTGGAGAAACAGCTGGACTCTGTAGAAGAAGAAGCTGGGAAGGTTGCATGCCATGTCCTAAGGGGGCCCACTGGAACAGTCAGCTCCCAGAGCAGCCCTGAGTTGGAATCACACCCCAGCCTAAGTTTAGCACCATACTGTCATCAGTGAACATCCTAGGGTCCTGAAACTGGGCACACTCTGGCTGGCACCACAGGGGAGAGGGCAGATGCTGGAGAAGAATCAAGCCTCCAAAATGAGCTCTGCTGGCTTGAGTGGGCTGCTTCTCCCAATACTCAGGCTCAAGTCATTGAAAAGTGACTGACAGACACCCCAGGGTTTCTCTGATTTGCTAGGTATCTCTCTCCTGCTTCTATGGACAAGGGCTCCCACCTATCTGTCACGTGTGGTATAGCTCCCCCTTTGCAAAACTCAGAGCACCAGAGGCAGGCATAAGATGAGGTCCTTGTCTTCCTAGTGGCTTTCCTCATGGCCCTGGCACTTCTACTAACAGCAGAACCACACAAATAAAGAGCTCTGAAATCTCAACACAAGACTCTGAAATTGTCCCAATTCTCTCTTCTTCAAGCCAATTGTTTAACATGTGGAGTCTACCCTGTTGGCTACCTTTCCTTCCTCGTGATCCTCCAGCTAAATTCTGATAATGCTATTTTTGCTTCCTTCATTTCCTAAGGAAACTCCTGTGTGTAGTTAACACATACCTCCCCATCCCAAGACTGGCTGTCTTCTCTCTTTCATGTCTCAGGTACTGGCGACTTGCAACACTGTGAAGCCTGCCCTGACCCTTTGGCTCCTTCCCTCCCTGGCCTGCCTGCATCCCTAACCGTTTTGACTTCTCCAGCGAGTGAGTCTTTGTCCATCCTATCCCCAGCCCATTCCAGCTTCCTCTCCTTTCCCCGAGATATGCAGGTGATGCCCACGTGTTAGTTCTGACACTAATTTCTCTCCAGAACGCCCTCCCATGTTTTCAGCTGCCCATTCAACATTTCCACTTGGATGTTCTCACTATTGAAAAAGCATGTCAGAAACTGAACTCATGATGACAACAGCAAACAAACCCTCACATTTATCGAGCATTTGAGAGTTCACAACTGGCCATTATGCCTAGTTTATACACCAGATTTCATTTAAACCATACAAAATCCTCTGCTGTAGGCCAGGCAAGCATTGCTATTCTCATTTCATAGTTGAGGGGACACAAGGCTCAGAGAAATTGCCTAAGAACAAATGGCAGAAAATTATGGAGCCAGGACTTAACTCAGTTTCTCTCCTT